>NC_000010.11:9555454-9706969 GCF_000001405.40 Homo sapiens
TAGAGCATGTGGTTTCACAGTGATTTTTGTGTGCTTTTTTTTTTTTCCGCACAAGAATTGCTTCTTCAGCTACATTGTAAGATTTTTGAGGACAGATAATTTTTATAGCCTAACAATTAGTAAAATACTTAGGAAAAATAATTGTAGGCTTTCAAGAATATTTATTTATTTTTGTTTATTTATTTATTTATTTTGAGAAATAAGTCTTGCTCTGTCACCCAGGCTGGAGTGCAGTGGCACAATCTCTGCTCACTGCAACCACCACCTCTCGGTTCAACTGTTTCTCCTCCCTCAGCCTCCTGAGTGGCTGGGATTACAGGCGCCCACCATGATGCTGGCTACTATTTTGTATTTTTAGTAGAGATGGGGTTTCACCATGTTGGCCAGGCTGGTCTCGAACTCCTGACCTCAGGGGATCCGCCTGCCTCGGCCTCCCAAAATGTTGGGATTACAGGTGTGAGCCACTGTACCCGGCCAAGAATATTTATTAATGGAAGTAAAAAAAAAAATTTTACATTTGGACTCATAAGAGTGTAAATACATTTTTCACAATTTAGTCATGAAGTCAGTGTGAACTAGAGGTGTGTTAAATGATAGGGTAGTTGGTGAATGGATGTATGACTGCTTGGGCTATCTTCCTGCTGTTTGTCCAGATTTCCAAATATACTTGCTTCAAATAAACTGAATGTTAGCTGGAGAAAATGGAAAATGTTTGCAAAAGTTTATACAGAGTTTAAGCACATAACATCAAGTCAACCAAAGTCAGTCATTTAACCTTTAGGAAATTTTTCCTTGTTCATCGGGTTAGCTTTTCCCAGCAAAGAGAATGTTTTACAAGAAATTATTTACCTTATCCCACAGAAAAATGAAATTAAGCAAACTCTGGAAGGAGACTGAAATAATGTGTATTTGTATTTTGGGGACATGCAGGGCGGTAGAATAAAATTCAGACAGTGCCTTCCTATTCTCTTCACTGCTTATTCCATTTCCACCTCTACAAAAACACGGTTTGTTTGTTTGTTTGTTTTGAGACACAGTCTCACTCTGTCACCCAGGCTGGAGTGCAGTGGCGCGATCTCGGCTCAGTGCAACCTCTGCCTCCCGGGTTCAAGCAAATCTCCTGCCTCAGCCTCCCTAGTAGCTGGGACTACAGGCGCCCACAACCACGCCTGGCTAATTTTTGTATTTTTAAGAAGAGACAGGGTTTCACCATGTTGGTCAGGCTGGTCTCAAACTCCTGACCTCGTGATCCGCCCGCCTCGGCCTCCCAAAGTGCTGGGATTACAGGTGTCAGCCACCGCACCTGGCCATGATTCTTTTTTAATGACACATGCATAATATGCTTACCATGAAAATTGTGTATAGTCCTTCCAATAAGGCTGTTGGGTATGGGTAAACTGCAAATTCAAGAGAAACTGGAAAGAAAAATGATTATAACATATTTATTGTAGGTGGCAAATTGTCCCATTTCAGTGGAGAGATCTCACTCCCCTACAGGGTTATTTAAATACAACCTCAAATTATAAAGATCCTTCAATTAATTATATTAATGTTCTATTCCTTAAAAACTGCCTGTTTGGAAACAGCAAAAAACCTCAAAAAAACAAACAAAAAACAATGAAAGAAAAAAATCATTTTGCGCTATTTGGGAGACTTAATATATTTTATTTTATCATCTCTATCTCTCATAATGATGTTATTTTTTGCAAACTAAACTAAAGAAACAGCCTGTAACACAAACAACTGTTTTAGTAGGAACATTTAATTGCCCTTCATTTTAGCAAATGTATTTTCAACAGTCTTGTGATTCAAAGATACAATTAGAATGTTTATCTTTATTTTTTTTTTCTTTTGGAAAAAGGTCATACTTCTGGCAGAGAGGAACTGTAATGACTTTTCTTTTTTTTTTCCTTCTGTATCTGTAGTATGTTTCATCTCCTACTGACATCTAATTGCAAATAAAATTCTCTTTGGGATGCATTACAGGCCAGAAAATTGGTTGGAATATGGATCTTCACTGGGATTTTGCTACATTAAAGAATAACCAATACTTTGTGTCTACATAAAAACACCTTCGGTATGAAAAATCTCATTGTAAAACACCACTTAAGAAAACAATACATGTTGTGGAAGGAATTTATGCAAGATGGTTAAGATGCTAATCTTTTAGCATCTCATTATTTTATTAATTTCTCATCTATGGTTTCTTTCATGAGATTTTTTTTTTCAAAGTAAAAAATGCAACAAATAAAAATGAGTTCCTACCTATATACTTACAGATTAAAAAGCTTCAGAAAAGAAGTAACATTCATACCACACAAAATAAATTTCTACACACAAATTGCATATAAATTGAAGAAGAAAACCAAAAATAATTTTTGGGAAGTTACTTCTAAACTACTTTTTACATTAGCAGCTGTTAGAAAAAAATCCTGATTGACTTTAAAGAAAACTACAAAGATTTTTTACAAAGAGAAAGGATTATAATAACCTCAGATTTTTGCAAAGGCATCAAGTCCAAGAATGTGAATTTATATCATGTTAAATCATTAAGCCAGTGGCTGAGAGGTTAAAGATATTTTTAGAAATACAAGGAAAAGATTTAACCTTTAACAGAATTTTTCAATAAAATAAGGTGAGTAATTAAAGAAAAAGAATGACAAGGGAAGCAGAACATATATATATATATATATATGTCATATCAAGCAATGCAGTATTTCAGATGGACAGATGAAGAAAGGAGCTTCAGAAGACAGGTTTTCAGAAGACAGTATTTAACTGAATATCAGGTAAACTGGAACATTTGGAGCAAAACAAACTTAACCTTATAAGTAGGTTGTAGCTAGTTCCATTTCAACAAAGGGGTAATGTTATGCTACTTAATAAATTGAGAACAAAGAAAAGAGCTAATATTACCATTTTGATTATATTGTACAATAAATCTGAAAAAAGTGAATACAATGTGTAAGTTTTAAAGGAAGAAACAAAATTATCATTCACATATGATATTATTGCCTATGTGAATATATAGCAGAATCATTTGGTAAAATTTTAGAATTAAGAAAAGAGCTTAAGAAGGTTGCTAGAAATATGATTAATATAAATATTAATTGCATTTCTATACAGCGTAACAAAGTATTAGAAGAAAATATTTTAGAAGTTTTTTATTTCATAAACCATATATTTGTGTGTAATTTGCAGTAGCAAATGTATGTTTGTTAAAATAAGTAGTCTTTCAAAATGTACATTATATGTAGTCAAACATAGGCTATATATGATGTATTATGTATTAGATATGTCATTTCATGTGTCATATTATATACAAGTGTCATATATATCCACAAAAAGATGGACAAGACTTATTTTGGTAAAATTTTAATAAATATCTTATTAAGATTAAGTATATTGACCTAAATAATGAAGAAATATGCCATATTCACAAGTATATTTTTAATATATCAATTCTTTACAAATTGAAAGAAGAGTCTATGCAACATTCACCCAGCTCTCAAATTTGAGTGGAGTCATTGTTGAACTTGTAAACTGATGTTTAAATGTATACAGAAGAACAACCATGAAGAAGCCAGGCACCTTTGAAGGGGGTAGACATCAAGAGTTATTTTAGCACAGGAATTAAAAAAAAAAAAAGAAAAAAAGACTAATGCAATAGAATGGAGAACTCACACTTAGATCTACACACATATGTAAGCAAATAAAAAATAATTGATAATTTAATAAATGGGACTGCAGCAATCAGTTTCTATTAAGGGAAGAATATGTAATTGAATTCTTACATTATAAAATGTTTCTAAATGGATGAAAAATTGAAGTATCAAAACCAAATTTAAAAACATTTGGAGAAAACACAGGTGAATATCTATTATGTGTCAGTAGGAAAGGATTTCTTAAACAGAACAAAAAAGTCCACGTTAAAAGAAATAAATGATAAATTTGATTCCATTAAAATTGAAGATACCTATTAAGCACAATAAATGATAAAGAACTTTTAAAAATTCACCTAAGGATATTTACTTAACATGTAAGTGATAAATAATTCGTATCTATAATATAAAGTATGCAATAATGAAGAATATAACATATATAATCTTAATATATAAATAAATTTATATATTCTATTCCCTCTATTTTCTCTTACAAAATATTGTTCATTGTTTTGAGACACTATTATCCACCTACTGCAATATCAAATTTGATGGTATTTTGGAAATCTCCATCACGCATTTTAGGATGCACCAATATAATATACCTTCTGTTACAGATCTCCAAAATCTTGCTATTTAATAGAAGCCTTGCCCAGAAGCCAGTTTCAGGCATTATGCACCTCTAACAAAGTAATTTCACTTAGATTCTGATCGCATGAACATAATAACTTCAAGACAATCAAGACAAGGTGCTGATCTTCTGTGGATGCCTCCCTGGGAGGTGAGTATTCTGAAGACTAAAGCCCACACTGGTGAAACTGATTTTGGTATGAGGTGAGGCAGGGCACACAGTGGATTCAGATCTTTAAAAGCAGACAGTGCAGAACTGGTATGACTTCAGTTTGGTAGAATTAGCTATCTAAATAAAATATTAATCTGAGTATATCTTTAAGGCAAGAAAAATTACATCACAATTGCATAAACTACACAGATCATTCCTCTGACTGGTTTGTCTGTTCGTTGTTTTGGTTTGTTTGGAATCAAGGATTCACTTTGACTGACAGTAAACTAAAAGGATAACCAGAATACTACCCCAAAAGTATCCTGAATGGGAAACAGGAATGTCCAGTAGAATTAATAATAAAAAACACCTATCATTATGAATTAGGCTCTCTGGATTCTCATTTCTCCACTAGTTACCTGTGATATTGGGAGGTCATTTGGGCAGCATTTAATTCGTAAATGAATGTCCATTGATCTTCCAAAAGTATTCTGAATTTTTATTTTTTATCGAATATAGCAAAATTTTGAAAAGAGACTGCAGCAAGATAAGAACCAAGCAGAAAGATGCAAACAGGAGGATACCGTAAAAACCTAGTTGAAAATGAGGGTAGAGATCAGGGCAAAGGCAACAGAGATAGTAAGAAATGGTCAGATTCAAGAGATTTTGGTCACAGTAGAGTTTTGTTGGAGTGAATGTGGCATACGAAAAGAAAGAGGAGTTTAAGGTAGCTTCAAATTATGGCCTGAGCACCTGGAAGGGATGGTGTTCTCATCAACTGAGGGGCAGCCTAGAGCAAGAGTGCTTGACAAGATCTGACTGTCTGCGTTAGAATCTTGGCTCTGAAATTGACTGGGATTTTGGACAAGTTAGTTAATTTTTGTGTATCTTGTTTCCCTTCTCTGTGAAAAGGAGTTGATTATATTATTACTGTATAAAGTTGTTTAATCCATAAATGAGAGAATTTATGTAAAGGATTTAGAACAGTGAGTGGTTCATAGTAAGCACTCAATAAACGATATTCTCTATGATTCTCCTGAAACTAGCCTGAGAACAAAGACCCTGCACAAGATCCCCTTGTAAACAAGGAGGCAGTGCTACCGTCAGAGAAGATGTCACAATCCATATGTTAAAGATCACTAAATTTTAGTAAAATCAAGCTGTTGACGTTTACTTCCTGCTTAATCAAATAGTTTGCTCAACCAACCTAGTAATTGGCTGCCATGAAATTTGCCTCCAAATGGACTGTGACTAATTGAAACAAAAATGGATGGTTCAGTAGCAAAGCTTAGTCTTAATCAGCGTGTCTAGTAGGATAACTCTGAGTTTTTATCCATGTGTTTGAAAACAAATTAAGTTGGAATGTTGTCAAGTCAGACAGAACTGGTTTCCATTTATGCTTCCATGCTTACTGACTGTATGACCTTCAGTTTCCTCAATTACAAATGAGGGTAACAGTGTAAATAATGTCATGGGATTATTTGGGGGATTAAATAAGACTGTAAACCCACTTAGCATAGTTCTATGGCTATCGTAGTTGTTCAGTAAATATTAATCGTTCTGATAGTGATGGTAAGAATTCTGATGCTGATAATTGAAAGCACGGTGAATAGTCATTCATGAACTGATAATCAAGAAAATTACAAGAAAGTCATTTTTATAACGTCTACTATTTACCTCTAGCAGCTTTTAAAAGTCTAATAAATGAAGCAAATTATCCATGAGTGTTTAATAGTGGAATGAGGTGCCACAACTCTCACATGGATAAAATATATTAGGTTTTTATTTGCTCCCCAAACAACATGCCTCCACTTTCCTTCCCTATTCTCTTTCCAAAAAGAATAACATATTCAGGTTTATGTGTATGTTAGCATCCTTTAGGACTCTTTAATCTCTTTTTGAAGCACTGTAGAAAGTAATGAGATCCCCAAAGAAAGCCTGAAGGGCCTCTAAATAACCAGAAAGGAATAGCTAATCTCTTACAGTCAAGCCTTGTAAAAAAGCAATTTGTTCATTAATGATAGAAATAAAGCATCTTCACTTGAGAATTAATCCTCATCTTCCATAAAACAAAATCACCTTCTGTATACATGTGAAGAGAAACAGACAGGACTGGAGTCAGTGGGGGTAAATCTTGCATAATACACTAGCCTTAATAGTGCTGCTAAAAAAAGAAAAAAGAAAAAAGAAAGACTGAAAATCTCATTAGCACCTTATCTCATGGAGCACTCAAAGGTAATCAGCAAAGGAGGGGGGTCTTGCAATGCAATTAGTGGCTGTTAAATTTAGAGAAAATTAGAGGGGCTATTCTCTACCCAGTTCCTAGTCAACGTTGAGTCACTGGGCTGAATTTTTTAAGGGCTGGTTCATTAAGAAACAATCACAGCAGGTGTAGTTTTCCATGTTAAGACAAGAGTCAGCATTCTTTATGCCTTCAGTCAACCCAGTGGGACATTAAGGCATGCTTCCCAGCACAGCACATTTATTTGAAATTTTTGTTTACCTCTGAACACCTGCAGGACTAGGTTCCTGACATATTAAATATGTGTATCACACTTTGTACTTGAATTATACTTTACACTTTTCTCACTTTAGATGCTGTATTTTTGCCACACATTACACTTATGAAGTGACATATAATCATTTCCTTGGGCTATTACTTACAGCACTCTAGTGGATGTATGTGAGTGCAGTATTACCTATTTTAAAGATGGAAACACTCACCTATCTGTCTGTCGATCTATCACCCATCTATGAGTTGATAAGTATCTTTTCAAAATTAAGTAGAACAATTTTATTTTCAAGACTCATTTGCTAAACCTATTGTATAAAGTTTTCTGAACTTACAAGGAGGCAAAGTTGTAAAATAAAGAAGATAATATATTAGGTGTGATTCCCTAAAAGCCTTTCATCTTTTTTCATTATCTCCCAGTCTCTTTATTTTAAGATACTATATATAAAGAAATTACTCACTCCCTCCCATTTTTGTCCTGAAATGTGGAGTCATGTAAACTAATTGCTTCAATCTGAAGACAAAACCTCAGTGATCTAAAACCTTGTATGTCTCTGGAATCATACAAGTCAAAATGTAACTACATATGTGTAAATGATTTGTAAACTGTAAATGAGAAACATAATTTTACATTTCATCTGTGGAGATTATTATTTATGACTAGCTATTTGGTTCCTAGAACAAAGTACAGCAGCTTTCCAGGTGTTTATTGGAAAGAAGTAAGGAGGTTCTTGGGAAGAGGCATAGACTATTTCAGATAATTAGCATAATTTGTTAAAACCATATTTGTTAATTCCGAGGATTAAAGCATGGGCTGGAAAAATACAATCGCAGTAACATCACAGTGACATCTGTACTAGTGAAGTTACAGAAAAAGGACTTTCTAGACTGAAGAGAACTAAGTTATACTGGGTCTTATAAAGTTTATAAAAATAACGCCCACTCAAAAAAAAAAGGAAATTGACCCTATAAAAAAATTACAAAACTTCTATAATTGATTAGATAGCTGCATAACAGTTGCAACTTTATATTATAAAAAAGTAATCACCTATGTTTTGAAGATTTAGGAGACACATATTGAATACATTTTCAAAGAACACAAACAAAACTAAAAATTCTTATAATAATGAGAAATAGACCCCGAAGATTTCTAGAGTAGCATGACATAAAGTGCTGTTAAATGGCAAACTGTCATTCCCAAAGGATTATCAAATATATGCTTCTGAGGCAACTGACTTTCCCATGTGGGGATAACAAAGGTAAGCTGGGGATAAAACATGGATGATAATGGAGTTAAGTCATCCCTTATACCATAGTAATATTTTAAAAAGCATTAAAACAAAAATATATCAATATTACAAGAAAATATCCACAGCTTGAAGTCTGTGCTCACAGGACATCTGAAACTCTAATAGATAACCTATGATCCTTCTGATTTGAGGAAAAGATGACAGACAGAATTGAAAGACACAATAGCCACTGGAGGGTAGGAGGAAGTAATGGCAGGGAAAGGCTAGAGATAGGGAACTCCAAATTCTGCATAGAAGTGTGCTCAAATCTATGGCTGGGCATGATTTCAGAATGTGCACTGAATGAATTCAAGGCAGCACAGGAAAAGACCAAACAACTTAACAAAAATTTGAGCTTATACCAAAAGAGAGAATTTGGAGTTTATTGCTGCATATGGTGTTAAGTAAAAATCTAATTTATTGTTTCTTTAATGACCATCCAGTTGCTTTCTGACCATGTACTAAAAATATTATGTTTACTTTTTTGACATGATATGCCACATAGATTATGTACTCTATGTACATCTATTTCTAGGGTTTCTATTCTATTCACTCGTAACCTGGCCACTTATGCTCTAGTTTTAATTATGAGACTTTACTGAATGGTTTGAAGGCTGATAAAGGGCTGTTGTCCTTTGGATTATTTCTCTTTCTCAGTGGTTTCCTTGTTCTTTTTGCAGATTTTTTTCCATATAAACTATGGTATCAGCATGTTTAGTTCCAAAGTAACAGGTTTGTTGGCATTTTTATTATGAAAGAAAGTGCTATATTAACTTAGGAAGAACTAACATTTTGAAGGTGTTGAGTCATGCTTGTTAGGATCAAGGGATGTCTATTCATTTGTTCAAATCTAACATTGTGTTGATCAGGAGTACTTTAAATTTTTCCTTATAAACACTTTGGACATTTCCTATTAACTTTATCCTTAAGTATTTGATTATCTTTGTTATTATAAATGGGGTTTTCTCTACCATTATGTCCAAAAACTAGTTATTGTTTATTACAAAAATGTATTGATTTCTATACATTATTTTTGTATCATGCTATATTCATTACTTATTTTGTTGGTTGAGTTAGTTCTAGCATTGTTTCCCTGTGGTTTTTCAGGTGTACTTGTACATCATCTGCAAGTATCTTTTTTCTTCTTCATTAACAATCATGACTCTAATTGTGGTCTCTTATTTAGTTCCACTGACTCATACCTCTAATAACTATGGAAATATTGGGCATCCCTTTCTCATTCCTTGTTTTAGAAGTACCTCTAGTTTCTTTTACTTTTGTTTCTGATGAAGTATAATGTTGGCTTTAGGACTAAGCATGTATATTGCATTGTGTTAAGAAAGCAGCCACGAATTCCTATATTCTTGAGTGCTTTTTTCCAGAATGAGAGTTATATTTTGCTAAAAGTATTTTCAGCATCTATGTAGATAGTTACAACTCGTTCCTTTAAAAAAATCTACTGAAACAATGTATCATAATAATGGATTTCCTGATAGCATACCAACTTTAAACCTTTAGAATAAATCCCACTTTCTCATAGTGTGTTATTAGTTTAATATAGTGGTGGATTTTGTTAATATTTTATTTAGTACATTTGCATCGATATTCAAAAATGAGATAAATCTATTGTTTTCTTTTTAATATTAGCCTTTTCAGATTTAGATAATAAGGTTATACTTGCTTCAAAAAATAAAATAGTAAAATTTTCTTTATTTTCAAAGCTCTGAAGTAATTTCAGGCTTATTGGGACATAGAAGATTGGAAAAACTTCTCTGTGAAACATCTGGGATTCATTTCATGTTAGGTTTCTCCAAAGATAAGAAACCAACAAGGTATGTGTGTGTGTTTTTATATATGAGTATAAATATATAAATAAATAGATGTATTTATATGTTTATAATGCATATAATATACATATAGAGTATATGTATACTTTACATACATATATAATTTTTATATGTACAGAAAGAGAGAAAAAGATAAAGGAAAAATTTATTACTTTAAATAATTGGCTTACACTAGCACGGAGATTGTCAAGTCTAAACATCTGCAGGGTAGACCAGCAGTCTGAATACCCAGGGAAGAGTTGATGTTGCAGTTCATCTGAATGACACCTGCCAGCAGAGTTCTCTCTTCCCAAGGGAGCTCAGTTTCTTTTCTGCTAAGGTGTTCAACTGATTGGATGAGATCTCCTCAATTTAGAAATGGGTCATCTGCTTTACTCCAAGTCTACTGTTTTAAATGTTAATCTTATCTAAAAAAACACATTCACAGAAATATATACCATAATGTATGACTAAATATCTGGATACCATGGTCTACCCAAGTTGATACACAAAATTAGGCATCACAGATTCTTTTTATAGAGTAGTTCCTTGGTTACTTGGAAATTGTGAGGTTCAAATACTCTATCTGTAGTTATGTCAATCTACATTTTAAAATGCAATTGTATAGAGGTTTGCAAAGTTTATTTTTTATTATAATTTGAACTTTTATTTTAGATTTGGGGGTACATGTGTAGGTTTGATATTGCGTGATGCTGAGGTTTTGGATGCGAATGATCCTATGACCAACTTAGTGAGTGCAGTACCCAACAGCTAGTTTTTCAAACTTTGGCCATCTCCCCAGTTAGTCGCCAATGTTTATTGATGCCATATTTATGTCTATAAATACCAGATATTGAGCCACCACTTATAAGTGAGAACACTTGGTATTTGGTTTTCTATTCTTGCATTAATTTGATTAAGATTATGGCCTCTAGCTGCATCCATGTTGCTGCTAAGGACATAATTTTATTCTTTTTTATGGCTGTGTAGTATTCTATCGTGTATATGTACCACATTTTCTTTACCCAATGCACTGTTGATGGCACCCTAGGTTGAATACATGTCTTTGCTATTGTGAATAGTGCTGCAATGAACACACACATGTATGTGTCTTTTTGGTACAGCAGTTTATTTTCTTTTGGATATATATGCAGTAATGGATTCACTGGGTTGAATCGTAGTTCTGTTTCAAGTTCTTTGAGAAATCTCCAAACTGCTTTCCACAGTGGATAAACTAATTTACATTCTCACCAGCAGTGTATGAGCGTTCCCTTTTTCCTGCAGTCTCGCCAGCATCTGTTGTTTTCAGAATTTTTAATAATAGCCATTCTGACTGGTGTGTGAGATGCTATCTCATTGTGGTGCTGATTTGCATTTCTCTAATGATTAGTGATGTTGAGCATTTTTTTTTATGTTTGTAGGCTGTTTGTATATTCTCTTTTGAGAAGTGTCTGTTCATGCCTTTTGCCTGCTTTTTAATATAGGTATTTGGTTTTTGTTTGTTGAATTAAGATTCTTGTAGATTCTCAATATTAGAGTGAAGAATCTGTAAGAAATTAGATATCGAATCTGTATCTTGCTTTGGGCAGTAGGGCCATTTTAATTATACTGATTCTTCCAATTCATGAGCATGTAATGTTTTTCTGTTTTTCCATGTGTCAACTATGATTTCTTTTAGCAGAGTTTTGTAGTTCTCCTTGCAGAGGTATTCAACTTCCTTGATTAGATGTATTCCTAGGTATTTCTTGGGCTACTTTAAATGGAACTGTGTTTTTGATTTGGCTCTCAGCTTTAACGGTGTTAACATATAGAAATTTTACTGATTTTTGTACATTGATTTTGTATCCTGAAACTTTACTGAAACTTTACTGAAGTCACTTGTCAGTTCCAGGAGGCTTCTGGTGGCATCTTTCTTGGCACAGAATGATAAAATCAGTGAAGAGAGATAGTTTGACTTCTTTTCTTTTTGGATGCCTTTTATTTCTTTCTCTTGCCTGATTGCTCTGGTAAGGGCCTCCAGTACTTTGCTGAACAGAAGCAGTAATAGGGGGTATCCTTGTCTTGTTCCAGTTCTCAAATGCAGCAAAAGCAGTATTAAGTAAAAGTTTATAGTGCTAAATGCCTACCTGAAAAAGTTAGAAACATCTCAAATTAACAACCTAACATCGCACCTAGAGGAACTAGTAAAACAAGGATGAACTAACCCCAAAACTAGCAGAAGAAAATAAATAACTAAAACCAGAGGGGAACTCTATAAATCTGAGACTAAAAACATTCATACAAAGAATCAACAAAACTAAAAGTTGGTTCTTTGAAAGGATAAATAAGTATCAATTAAACTACTCCCTACATTAACAAAGGAAAAAAGAGAGAAGATACAAGTAAGCACAATCAGAAAAGACAAAGGTGACATTATAACTAATCCCACAGAAATACAAAAGATTCTCAGAGACTATTATTATGGACACATCTATACACACAAACTAGAAAATGTAGAGGAAACAGAAGATAGATTCCTGGGAACACACAACCTCCTGAGATTGAAGCAGGAAGACACTGGGACCCTGAACAGACGAATCTTGAGTTCCAAAATTGAATCAGTAATAAAAAGAAAAGCCCCAGACCTGCTGGATTCACCAAATTCTACCAGAAGTGCAATGAGTAGCTAGTACCAATTCTACTGAAACTACAAAAAATTGAGGAGGTGGGTTCCTCCCTAGCTAATTTTACGAAGCCAGCATTGGCCTGAAACCAAAACCTGGCAAAGACACAACAGAGACAACAGCAGGGCAGTATCCCTAAGAAACACACGCACACAAATCCTCAATAAAATACCACCCAACCAAATTCAGCAGCATATAAAAAAGTTAATTCATCACAATCAATAGACTTCATTCCTAGGAGGTAAAGTTGGTTCAACATATGCAAATCAATAAATGGGATTCACGACATTAACAAAATTTACAGCAAAATCCATATGACTATCTCAATAGACATGGGAAGAACTCTTGATAAAATCCAGCATCCCTCATGATAAAAACATTCAACAAACTAGGCATTGAAGGAACATATCTCAAAGTAATAAGAGCATTCTGTGACAAACCCATAACCATCATCATATTGAACCAGCAAAAGCTAGAAGCATTTTCCTTGAGAACTGGAGCAAGAAAAAGATGCCCACTTTCACCACTCCTATGAAACATAGTACTGGAAGTCCTAGCCAGAGTAATCAGGCAAGAGAAAGAAATAAAAGGAATCCAAATAGGCAAAGAAGAAGTCAAATTATCTCTCTTTGCTGATAATATGATTTTATATCTAGAAAACCCTAAAGACTCAACAAGCGAGGCATCGAAGGATCATGCCACAAAGTAATAAGAGCCATCTATGACAAACCCACTGCCAACATTATGCTGAATGAACAAAAGCTGGAAGCGTTCCCTTGTTTGTTCTTCATAACGTATTTTAACTTCTATGTATGGCTTACTCAACAGTGGGCTTTTTCTATGTTCCTCCTTCCCTCTTTCTTTCCCCCATATTTTAGCTGCATCATATTTACATTGACTCACCATGTACTATTTATACATTAATTTTCCTCCATCATCTACCCTTTAATTTATCTTTAGGGCTATAATTACATATGTCCAAGTGTGCATCATAAATTCTTTTGCTTAAGAATTTCAAATGATCTCTTGTTTAGATAAAATCCACACTCAGATATTCCTCAAAAAAGGCATGTGGATAAGGAATCCCTAAGTTTTTGTATTTAAAACTGCTTTTCTATAACCTTGATATTTATCTGACAATTTAGCTAGAATTAAAATTCTTGGTCCACACTTCCTTTCATTGGGTTTTTGTTGTTGTTGTTAAATGCTACTCTACTGTTGCCTTTCTGTGCATATTATTTTTGAAAAGTCTGATTCCAGTATGTTTTCCTTTTTTTCTTTAGATACTATTTTGTTTTCTGTATTCTTTTAGAATTTAAGAGGTGTACTAGGCTATGTCTTGGATTTTATCATTGTGAATCAATTTTCTCAGGTACCAAATGGGTATTTTCAATATGTACATTCTTTATGTCTTCTTTTATACCTGGAAAGTATTATTTAATTATACAATTAAGTCTGTATCTTCTTCTTTAAATAATCTAATTACATGAATGTCATGAGTATTTTTTGGCCTAATTTTCATTTTAACCACTTTCTACCTATTTTTCTTATTTCTTTGTTTAATTTTCATGTTTGTAGTTATTTCACTATCTTATCAATATCTTTCTTATGGTTTTAAGTCTATTCTTTGCAAATCTTGTAATTTAGTCTTAGTTTTCTGAGATCATTTTGTCATATTCTTCCATTTCTTTTCTCTGTTTAATCTATAATATTTACTTCTTAGTTGTTAAAATATTTGATGCAAGGTGGTTTGCAGCATATCCAAATACCTTTTAAATTGCATTTAATTTAGAGTTTTGTCTTACAGCTTTTTCTGCATTATTTCGGCGTGGGGTTTGAAGGGAAATGGAGCAGCAGAGATGTGAGAAATCTTGTTTGCTAATTATTTTATGTTTACTTCGCATCAGATTATTATTTTTCTTTTGTTCATTTTCTAGATTTTGGGTGATTTATAAGATTCCTTGCTTATTGATTTCTTCTTCTTTTAGGAGTAAAGTCCAGTTTCCATTGTATTTTTATTATTTGGTGCTGGAACGAGGTGTTCAATGTCCACTGATATCTGGCTGTTCTTTGTTCTGGGTCTGTCTGGACCTACATTTTCCCCCTTGGCTCCATTCTCCTGCTTCACCGTACAGTTGGCAAAGGGGGCTTCCCCTTCGTAGGGGCTTTTGTCTTATAACTTCACATTTTCAAAAACAATCACATCAAATCACACATAATCAAAAGCCCTTCCCCTGTATCAGTGCTCTGATTTACAAGGACATATTTCCTAACAGGGTGGACTTCCCCTTTCTGCTGGTAATATTAGAGAAATTTGAGGCCAGATGCTAGCTGCCTGCTCTTCTCTTCCCTGTGGTTGTCCTTGGACAGCCTCTAGAGCCTTGCCATAAAGACTGGCAGGAAGTGTGTGAGCAGGTGCTTGCTGGGATTTTGTGATTTTTTTTAAATTTTTTATTAATAGTTATTTTGAACCTTTTTCATTTTCTGTCTGCTATTTATGCCAAGGGTACTGGTTTGGGGTAGAGTATCTATCCTTTTGTTAGTTTTGTTTTGGGTGTGTTTGGTGACACAGACAGGTAGCAGCCATTTTCTTCAGCTGTCCAGAGTCAGGAATATATGTGTAATAGCCTATTTTGTATTCTCTATAGACTTATTAATTGCAGTTTTGAGCCTATTTTTTTTTTGGTTGTGTGTGTGTGTGCATGTGTGTATGTTTGCTTCAAGGCTGACAATACAAACCTTTAACTTATCAGAGTTCATTTAGAGTCAGTACTGTTCCACTTCACATTTCATCCGTGATACCTTCTTCTTCCTACTTCACACTTTTTACAATACATTTGGCATTTCCCACTTCCAACTTTACATTCCATCACAAATATAATAAACAAACTATACCATGTTGACTTATCTCACCCCAGCATCATTGTTATTTTTATCATATATTTTATTTCTATGTATGTTATAAAATCCACTTTTCAATGTTATTACTTTGGCTTTCAATAGTCTGTTGTTTTTTAGAGAAACTTATAACTAGGAAAAATAATAACATATTTTCTTTTTATATTTACTTGTGCTCTTTGTGTTATCTAATGATACAACTTTCCATCTGTTATTATTTTCTTTCAGCCTGAAGAATATCTTTTAGCATTTCTTATAGTGTTTTTCTATTAGCTATTAATTTTCTCAGCATTTGCTCATTTCAAAATGTATTCTATTCATTCCTGTTTCCGAAAGTTATTATTGCTGACTATAGAATTGGGGACTTAAAATTTTCTTTTGTTTTATTTCATTTAGGCCTTTAACATTTCATTATGTTATCCTCTTTTCTCTATTGTCTACAATGAAAGGTCAGATATAATTTTTGACTTTGTTATCTCGTATGCACTCTGTCTTTATTCCTTTCCTGCTTTCAAGATTTTCTTTTTCTCTTTGGTTTCAGCAGGGTTTTGCACTGAAATTCTTCCACTAGGACTGGTCATAAACACCACACTGCATCTTTTCTCACCTATGTGGCTCTATGTGTATTTAAAGGGCTTTGACTTGCATGCATTTGAGTTTGTGCTTTGTTAGGAGATCTGTGAAAATCTCAAGCACTTCTTAAGCTTTTAGCCAGCTCAATCTCTGAATTCTGTCTCCCTGTGGAGCTTTGTGAGGGCTTGGATTTAGACTTTGATCGGGAAAATCTTGAGTTCAGTTTCTCATAGCAAGACCCTTACTCTTAAGGAAAGTCTTTCTGATGTCTCAGCTGGATGCCTACAGCGTGAAGGAGAGGTTAAGGTGGTCTCTTCACACTGGGTAGCCTGGAAATCCAAGGTCTCGGATAATCCTTGTCTTCTAGTGTCTCAATCCTATAACAGCTGGTTAGGCTTGGGTAATTTCACCTACATATGAGCAGCCTATCCGTCAGGCCAATGCTTAAGGTACCCCCTACAGGAGCTTTTGAGCACCCCAACCTATGCAGTTATGTCTGTCCCTCCATTCTGTGCCCCGCTCTGCAAAGTCCGACCACTTCAATTGCCCTAAATTCTGATCTCTGCCTCCTCAACATGTTTCAAACACTGTGCACTGCTTGGACTCCAGCTCGATGCCACAAAGTCAGGAAACTGTCCTAGGCAAAAAGCCAGGACAATTTGGAGACTCACCTTATGAGTTTTCTTTCCTTCAGGAATTACATTTCTACACTGTCAATTGTCTAGTCTCTGAAAACAATTGCTTTGTATTTCTCCAATTTTATGTTTGTTTACAATGGACAGGCTAGTGTGCTACCAGTTACTCTGCTATGACTGGTGGTAGAAGTCCCACATTTTACATTATATCAATGTATTTGCCAGGGTTCTCCAGAGAAACAGAACCAATAGGAGAGAGATATATATGGAAACGGATTTATTATGAGGAATTGGCTCATGCAGTTGTGGAGACTGAGAGGTGAGTCTGCTGCCTGCAAGCTGGAGACCCAGGAGAAAGCAGATGGTGTAGTTTCAGTCTGAGTCTGACGGCCCAGGAAACAGGAGCAATGATGTCCAAGGGCAGGGAGAGATGGATGTCCCAGCTCCAGAACAGACAGCAGATTCACCCTTCCTCTGCCCTTTTGTTCTATTTGGGCCTCTAGTGGATTACATGATGCCAGTTCCCACTGGGGAGGGTGATATTCTTTGCTGACTCTACTGATTCAAGTGCTAATCTCTTCTCAGAAACAAGCTTTCAGGGTCCTGCATGGTGGCTGATGTCTGTAATCATAGCACTTAGGGAGGCCAAGGTAGGCGGACCACTTGAGGTTGAAAGTTTGAGACCAGGCTGGCCAACATTGCAAAACCTGTCTCTACTTAAAATAAAAAAAAAATAATAAAAAAATTAGCCTGGGGTGAGGGGACACACCTGTAATCCTAGCTGCTCGGGAGGCTGAGGCAGGAGAATCCCTTGAACCTGGGAGGCAGAGGTTGCAGTGAGCTGAGATGGTGCCACTGCACTCCAGTCTGGGTGACAAAGTGAGGCTCCATCTCAAATACATAAATAAAAAAATAATAAAAGAAACACCCTCTCAGACACACCCAGAGATAATGCCTTCTTAGCTATTGGGGCATCCCTTAGCCAGTCAAGTTGGTGGACACAACTAACCAGTAAAATGGCCTACGTATTACATCAGTTTTGGAAACAGTGGTCTTTAGATCCATGGAACTTCTAAAGAACATTGTTAGCCAGAGTTTACAAGTCAAATATTATTTATGAATGCTAGCTGTATTTTATGTACTGTGCTAAGAATTAGAGATAAAGAGACAAAAGACGCAAAAACCAGGAATGGCTTATGATCTTATGTGGCTTATAGATATCCAGGGGTAATTGAAAATATATGGTTTAACATTTACAAGTGTGAAAACTGGAGGGAAGGAGGAACATATGACATTAAGGGAGGACATAATAAGAAGACCGAATTTATTTCTAGAGTGGTCAGCAATATTTGTGGAGGATACAAAAAAGTAGAAGATATAAGTAGGCGTCAGATGATCCAAGGCCAATTACACCATTGCTATCTCAAGTTTCATATTTTTCCACTCCCACCCCAGTTAGATTTCTTACTCCAAAGTGTTATTACGAGGATTAAATGTGTTTATTTAATGCCATATGGTGAACACTCAGTAAATCTGAGTTTTCCTCTTAATTCTTATTTTTAAAATATTGTTTCCTAGCAAAGGATCTGAAATCTTCCTTATTTTTTGAGGCTGTCTCATGCTAGAAGAGATGGCACCTTGTCAGGTATGAGCTTACCAGTCTGAAGCATGAGACACTTTCCATCTGCCTCTCTCTCTCTCTGATCTTCTGGAAATGTATTTATCCAAAGCAGAATGATGACATTTATTTCCTGATACATTGGCATGAATAAAATGCGGTTTCCACGAGTCAAATTTATTCCCCAGGAAGGTATATTTTTTTGTCTTTCACACACTCCATGGCTTCCCACCTAAGCTCCAATAGAACGAAAGCCTTCTTGTTTCCCTGCTTCCTGGGCCAACTTTTTCCAGACCATAATCCTCTTAATTCTTACATTTAACTTCAAATCTAGCCTCTATTTTTGGTAACAATCCTGATCCTGGTTAAAACTTATTTGTGTCTTTTAGATGAGCCCTGGTTTCTGTTAGTCTGTCCGTGATACTGGTTTATGGCTGATTTGCTGGGAAATGATGCCTGTCTTAGCAGATAGGTGTATCTGTCATTATTGCACTTTCTACCAAAGTGTGGACTTTGTCACACTGTATATATTTTTCACAAACCTGTTCTTCCCTAATGGGAGGACTCATTCTAAGATGAGACGCACCACACAGTAAGCTCCCTAGAATGAGAAGTAACAGGATTGATCCTATGTTCTAAGATTTTACGATTCCTTCAATTTCCTTTAATTCTAGAGCAGAAAGATTGTTTGAAGTACCTACCTCTTGGAGAACAATTTCTTTCCCCATACGCAAAAGTGGTAAGGAATGGCATGAAAAAGAGCCTGGTATTTATTTTTGCTTTAATGAAATTGCCAAATTTAACAGCATTATACATCAACTAGAATAAGCAGTCACTAGGTATCTATAATACTTTTCATACTGCTCAAAAAACAACAGTGGTTTCAGAGTTCGAGATTAGGGTTCCAGTCTAAAATTTGCAAGAAGTTATGCGGTTATTTTAGGTAAAACAAAAAAAAAACCCCAAAACTTTATCTCTTTGGATTTACTTTCATGTCTATAAATTTGAAGGAATAAGCTGAGAGGTCTGCTAAATCTAACACTGCCCAGAACTCCTTTAGAAAACCACAGTTCAAACAAGTTGAAGAAATAAAGAAAAATGTTCACTTAACTGCAAATAATAAACTGTCAACCAACTTTAGAAATGACTGAATCCCTTTCCTCATCTTACTCTCTCTTTCTTTCTCCCCTTCTTTAATGCACATCCTAGTCTGTGAGCTCTGCTTTTCAATATGCTGGTTTTTAAAGAGGGGCAACATTTTTCTATTTGATAACAAAGATGGTTTCATTGCCATTGGTTTCATTGGGTGGTTATAGATATCAATACCAGAAAAAAAATAGAACACACTTGTAATGGTAAATTTTATGTGTCAACATGGCTGAGCAACAATGTTCAGATATTTAGGCAAACATTATTCTAGATGTTTCTGTGAAGGTGGCTTTTTTGGATGAAATCAACATTCAAATTGGTGAACTTTGAATAAAGCATATTGTCCTTCATACTGTTGGAGGGCCTCATCCATTCATTTAAAAATCATGATAATAATAAAAAAAATGACTGTCCTGCCCTGAGCAAGAGGGAATTCTCAAGCAGACTGCCTTGGACTCCAGCTGGAACTCCTCTCTGAAACTCCACCCTGTGGGCCTTCCCCATTGGGTTTTAGGTTTCTACCCCTCCACAATCTGATGAATCAATTCCTTATAACAATTCTTTCTCTATATATAAGTAGGTATACACATCCTTTTGTGGGAAGTCAGGAAATTATTATGTATTCCCTGACTAATATAACTTTTTCCAAAGAGTCTGAGCAAATGGTTTCAGATTAATGATGACTGAGTTATCATAACTCTCTTGTTTCACAGCCTGAAAAAAGTGCTAGAGCCAGACAAGTAGAGGTCTCAAATTGACCATCACTAGGGCACCTATTATCCTTGATAACTGGGTAGGGATCAGCTGAATTGCAGGTACTGACAACATGGGTTCATCTAAAAGGTAATACATTCAGCCCTCCATATTCACGAGTTCCAAATCAATGGATTCAACCCACTGAAAATATTATAAATAAACGCATAACAACAATAGAACAATAAAAACTAATGCAAATACAAAACAATACAGTATAACAACTATGTAGAATTTACAATGTATTATTATAAGTAATCTAAATATGATTTAAAGTATACAGAAGGATATGCATAGGTTCTATGCAAGTACTATGCCATTTTACATAAAGAAAGTGTAAAAATTTTGGATTCCAAAATTCCATGTATTTTGGTATCTGCCAGGGATCCTGAAACCAATCCCCCATGGATACAAGGGGATGAATGTAAATACGGAGAGCAAATACCCACTATACTAAATTTACACTATTTTATGATTCTACTCCCTGATATTTTCCTTGTCTTATAAAACATATTTCTCTCTGCAATGATAAATGTAAGCAAAACTTTGCATCTAAAAATGCACATATTTGAATAATACAGTAGACAGAAATTCCATACCATGTTAGGATGTCTATGAACAGGAACACTTATCCAATCACGTGTTATAGAAACCAAGGAATAATAAATTTTATAAAGACTGAGTATGTATACAATGGAGGTGGAAACTGAATCAACAAAATGAGAAAAATTCCATTAAAAAATTATAGCAAGCATCAGTAAAACTGAGTGTTTTTCCTAGTTCTGATATATATGCTATAGCACCCTATGAAAGTCACTTTAATCATTTTTAGTGTCTTTATTTACAAATTAAGAAATACTATACTTACTCTTCCCACCTCTAGAGTTGTTACAGAGATTCAAGAATGCATGCGAAATCACTTTGACAACTATTAAATCCTATGCAAACATTAGCCTATATATATTTAAGAAAAAAGCTTTTACCTCCTGTATTACTATGAATCTAAGAAGACTCTCCTAAGGAAGGAGGTGAAGTTTTACAGCTGCAAATGATGAGCTAACTCATTGAGTCCAAGCTTATGTTGAAGGTCAAAGGCACTCCATAGTAGCACAGTTTTTCCTAAAATAATACTTGGGAATATCAATTAGCTGCCATGAAAATTTCCTCAAAGGGGTTGAAATGTGCCTACAAAAGACCTGGTAAATGAGTAATTGCATTTTGTTGCCATTACAAGTTATTGCACATGATAAAATCTTCTAAGTAGGTTTAACATTTCCAAATATTTCACTTAGGCACACACAGTATGTAGCAATTAGACAAGTAATTACTAGGATTTGGGAAAGGGACTCCATAGATGGGCAAATAAAGGAAAAAGTTGAATTCATTAAATTCAAGATGTAATATATAATATTCTCTAATAATAAATTATTCCTTCATATAATCCTTTATCTTTTAATGAATCACTCTTCCCTTGCTTACTCCTAAAGTTTTTCAAAGATGGTACTCACCAAAATACATTGTACTCCAACACATAGAACACAAAAAATAAATGCAATGTCCTTAATTTAACTAAAAATGCAACATACAAGCACTTTTGCTAATAATTACCTTATTTAACTAAATCATATGTGGTCATGTATCTTATATTTGGGAATTTAAAATATCAATATTGCTTTTGAGAAAAGAAAAGAAAAGTTAGCTAAAAAAAGAAAAAGAAATATGACTGAATAAAAATGTAGGCCTATAAAAAAGAAGTGAAAAGAAAAAAAGATGCATAACAAAACCATTTAAAGCTACATTTTAATGCTGTATATAAAGACATAAAAGTTGTAAATCTTTAAGTTATTCCATTTATTATATTTTGTTTTGTTTTTTAACCATCAGTATATACTACCTTGCCTCATCCTGAAGCAGCTTGAAAGTCATCCATCTTTGTCTTGTGGGATGAATGAATTTCAGTGAGTGGAAGAACCAACACTATTTTCAAATTTCATCTCAGCAAGTGTGAATATGCTGCAGCTGCATTTCCTTGTCATAATTAATTCCTGTTGGAAAACTTCATTACCAGGAGTTGGAAGGCTCATGTAGAAGGCTTGGCTTCCTGAGGCCAGATTTAGTCTGGAGCATGCACAGCTGTGAAATTCCAGGAAGTATGGAAGCTGTTCAGGAAATGATGGAGCAAACTTCTACAACACCAGAGAGAACAGTCTGGCAGTTCAACATAGGGGCTCGTAGTCTCCAAGCTGAGTTGTAAGCAGAACAGGAGGAAAAAAGTATATCTTTTTCTTTTGGCTTTGGCATTTCTTTGGATGCTCATTAACTCTCCTGTTTATGTCTTTGCCAGGTGGTAAGACCAGTACTACTTTGTTAGGTATGTGGATCTTGCAAATACCTCAAATGTTTTCCTCCATTCAGATTTCTAGCTGTATTTTTCTTTAATCAAACATAGGTGCTATTTTATAATAGTTTAGTTCATGATCCAAATGTACTTTGCTTTAGAAAGCAATGTGCTCTCAGAGGCAACATCCTAAAATTCCTAATCCTAAATGTCGATTTCATCTAATCAGAAATGAATATAAATCATAAAGGGATTCAATTAAAGAAACAATAAATAAAACTGTAGCATACCCATGGAAAATTGTAGTAATAATTTTTATTTCAAATATTCTTTACCCTGTTAAATAAAGGATGGGGTTTGGAAAGATGGCTATTGTAAGGGTCAACAGCTCTAGGTGGACAGGGCAAAGACATAACTCTTCATGCTCCATCTGGGTTGTGGTTTCTTTTAATGGCATGTCAGGTCACTTGGACTAAGACTCCAGCTCCAAACAATAAAACATTTTGTTCAAGCTCTTTTGAAAATTAACTAAATATCTATCTTATCCTTTCAGGCTGCTATGACAAAATAGCATAAACTGAATAGCTTATAAGCAACATAAATTCATTTCTCAAAGTTCTGGAGGCTGAGAAGTCCAAAATCAGTAAGCTGGCCGAGTCAGCACCTAGGAAAGTCCTACTTCCTCATATAGGTTGCCGTCTTGCTGGGTTCTCACATGGTAGAAGGAATGAGCTGGCTCTCTGTGTTCTCTTTTCTAAGGGCACTGCTATGGTCTCAATGATTGCCATTCATATGTGGAAATCCTAACCCCCAAAATTATGGTATTAGGAGGTGAGGCCTTTGGAAGTTAATTCGGTCATGAGAGATCCATCCTCACGGATGGGATTAATGACCTTATTAAAGAGCCCTGAGTAAATGTGTTCTCTTTTTCCACCACGTGAGAACACAGGTAGAAGGCTTCATCTTTGAGGCAAAATGTGAACTTTTATCAGATAGGAAATCTGCTGGCACCTGGATCTTGATCTTCCTGGCCTCTAGAACTGTAAGTAATAAATGTCTGTTGTTTATAAATACCCAGTCTAAGGTATTTATATATAACAGCTACAAGGGACTAAGGCAGTCATGAATCACCCCCCAAAGGCCCCATCTCTTAATACCATCAACTTGGCGGTTACGTTTCAACATATAAATTTTGTAGGAACACAAACATTGAGACCATAGCAATATCTAAATATTTATAAAAGTAAATTCCTTGGCCATTTTTTTGCATGAAATCTTGAAACCAAAAACATACAAGAATAATCAGATCACTGAATGTGCTGATGACCTGAGTGCTTTTCCAGTTCCTGACCTTGACATTTACACTTTAGTTTAATATTCACTGAGAAGAGAAAGGATTAACAACAGGTCTGTGACTCAACCCCTCTATGCTCCAGCATTCCCTAAGGAATGACTAACTTCAACGAGTCCTCCCCTAAGGATGTTCTTATATTTACCAGCAGAAAGATTTAAGGGAGGCATTATCTCTTAAAAAATGGTTTTTAGAAACACTCAGCCAATCTCTCCAAATTTCATTTTATAAATAAACTTTAAATTATGGGGCATTGGTGCTGCAGAATGAGTGTTAGTCACATAAATAGTGGTATCTTTGTAACTAATGGGAGATAAATTAAGAAGCCTTAAAAGGAAAAGAGCTTCCTTTGCGAACAATCTTTCACATGCGTTCTTGAAAACTTGTCTGTTAATCCAAAACTGAAATATGTTCTAGTGCAGGGAAAGGGGCTCCTAGAAATGTCAACAAAAAATAGGAAACAGATCAATAGAAATGGTAAATAAAAATATGAAAAAAGAGTTCCGTCTCATTGATAAGACACATAAATGTATTTAAAGATGTCGTGTACTCTACAGATGAGCAAATATTTCTTAAAAATGAGTGTCTGAGGTACATGTGTGGAAGAAAGGCAATTGTTTACGCAAATTCAGTGGAAATTTAACTTGATGAAAGCACTTTGGAAAAATGTTTAGAATCATCAAGTATGAATGAAGGTGTACCTGATTTATGACACAAGAATTCCAGTCACATGTACATAGTTTAGAACAATGCATTAACATATCACTAGGGCATATAGCATAATCCAGTCTGCCTACAATTGGCCCATTGGAGACACCTAAGTGTCCATAGCAATGTCTGGATAAATATGTGTGGGCCAGGTACAGTGGCTCATGCCTGTAATCTCAGTGTTTTGGGAGGCCGAAGTGGGCTGACTGCTTGAACTCAGGAATTTAAGACCAGCCTGGGCAACAAAGCGAGACTCCATCTCTACAAAAAAAATTAAAATTAGCCGGTCATATTGGTGAGCACCTGTGGTCCCAGCTTCTCAGAAGTCTGAGAGACTGGATTGCCTGAACCCAGGAGCTAGAGGCTGCAGTTAGCTATGATCACACCACTGTACTCCAGCCTGGGCGACACAGCAAGATCCCATCTCAGGAAAAAAAAAATGTCAAATAGTTGAACATAATTCAAAATAAAAATAAAAATTACAGTGACATATATTACCATAGATTACCTTACAAACAAAATTTAAATTAAAACCAATGTACAAAATAACATAGATATATATTCTAATTATGTAAAGTTCAAAAACAGGCAAAACTAAGCTATAATATTTAAAGAAGGTGACACAGTTGATAAAATAGGAATGAAAGGAAGGAAATTTGCAACATAAATGTCAGAAGACTGATTTCCTCAAGGAAGCAGAAAGTTGTGAGGGGTAAAAATGCATTGATGTTCTCTATCTCGCTTATTTCTTTATGCTTTTTTTCTATATGGTAATTACAGAGATTTTCCTGTAGTTCTTTGTATTAATTTTTTCTTATAAGTGTTATGTACATGTATGCTTTATACAGTATTTCAATGAAAAAAAAATAAAAACATGATTCCCACTTTTTAATTCCCTGAGAATATTGGTAAATATTTATTTTTAGATCCCACAGTTGATAAAACATAACACGGAAAACAGACAGATGTTCCCAAGCAGACCTAAAATGTTAGCCAAATATATTTATCAGAGACCAGCTATGTCCTTCCTTTAATTATCCTGGAATGGGAAATGAAGAAGAAGGGGGCAGAATTAAAATAAGGAATGAAAAGTGGATATAAGTTATTTCAGAGTTCATGTGTATGTGAGATGTATAATATACTCTGAGAAAATCGATTGACTTAGAATTTGAAAAATATAAAATATATGACATAATGCACATGAAAAAATGCACATGATAAATTGATAACACATAATGAATAAATTCCTTTGAAAGTATTAATCCATTTATGCTACACTATATTTTCTAGCAATACTTCCTGTTAATCTCAGATAAATGAAAACATAATAATATATAGCTATAAAATAGTGATCATCTCTATGTAAACAATACAAAATTAAAATTGTGTTAATTTTCTTGGGTTTTTAAAAGTTTTATCAGATACAATTTCTAAAATATGCAGTGCTATCTTGTTTATTCTGTAGTTCCCATTCATCATCAAATTATTTCATATTTATTTTTATCACAATGGTACTGTGATAAAACATTTGAAATTATATTCGTTTATATCTTGACTTCAATATTATAACTTCAATGTTATGACAAAGTTGAGACCCTTTGATTTTTTTTCTTTTGAGGTCTTAGACTTTTCTGAAAGAATCAGAAATATACTTGAGAGCTGAGGGAGATTATTTCAACTCAATAAAAGATAAATGTACCTATTTCACTGGGTTTACATAAAAAATAAAAGAAATAAGTGGGTCTGTTATAGAGTTTAATTTCTATAACTGAGAAGGAAACTGGAAGTTTATATAAGGGTCTTGCTGAGTGCAGTGTCTCATGCCTATAATCTCAGCAGTTTGGGAAGCCAATGTGGGTGGACTGCTTGAGTTCAGGAGTTTGAGAGCAGCCTAGGCATCATGGCGAAACCCCATCTCTACAAAAATACAAAAATTAGCCTGGCATGGAGGCACACGACTGTAGTCCCAGCTACCCAGGAGGCTGAGATGGGAGGATCACTTGAGCCTGGGAGGTGGAGGTTGCAGTGAACCGAGATTGCTC
The DNA here is from genome assembly GCF_000001405.40 of Homo sapiens. Taxonomy (NCBI): domain Eukaryota; kingdom Metazoa; phylum Chordata; class Mammalia; order Primates; family Hominidae; genus Homo; species Homo sapiens. Next base: position 9,582,253 of record NC_000010.11, read on the forward strand.
CATTGCACTCCAGCTTGGGTGATAGAGCCAGAATTTGTCTTAAGAAAAAAAAAAAAAAAAAGGACGAAAGAAAAATAAAGGAATATATAAGGGTCTTTTTGGTATTTTCTGCTTAGTGCTAGCTCCTTGGCTTTAGTTATTCTCAAACCCCAAATGTCAAATTGAATTACCATTAGGATTTCTCCAACTTGCAAGGTCTTGTCAAAGCTGCTCAGGAATCAGTTGTATGTAATCCAACTCACAGGGAAAGAATTTTGAATTTTGATTACAGCTATCAATGCGGTCCTATATTTCCCTTCTGTCTTATTGAAAGATTTTTCCTGACTTCTCCAAATACTGGGCATTTGATAGAGGGTTATTATCTGGAACTCCAAAAAAATTTTCCCTGGATACATCTTTGGGCTTAAACTTAATTTTTACTTTAGAATATTTTTATTTGGCATTGTCTCTACCTAGCTGAAGTGTTCTAAAGATCAATTTGTATTATTTCTCATATATTCGTAGGAAACACAAATTGTCATCTTTAAGTACTCACAGACACTAATATACTCCCATAAATATATTTTCTTAATATGACTAAACCCAAAATAGCTCACTACAACTATCATCAGTAATTAGGGGCTGTGGCTGGAATGTATAGATTTTACTCCAAAGCTACTCTATCTATTTAAAATTACCTAACACAGGTTGATATAATCAAAGAAATTTGTGAGCACAAACATATAGGTTTAGTCAATTCACATACTGCTATAGAATCCCCGTTTTAAAAATAACAGCAATACTAACTGGTGGGAGATGATATCTCATTGTGGTTTTGATTTGCATTTCTCTGATGGCCAGTGATGGTGAGCATTTTTTCATGTGTTTTTTGGCTGCATAAATGTCTTCTTTTGAGAAGTGTCTGTTCATGTCCTTTGCCCACTTTTTGATGGGGTTATTTGTTTTTTTCTTGTAAATTTGTTTGAGTTCATTGTAGATTCTGGATATTAGCCCTTTGTCAGATGAGTAGGTTGTGAAAATTTTCTCCCACTTTGTGGGTTGCCTGTTCACTCTGATGGTAGTTTCTTTTGCTGTGCAGAAGCTCTTTAGTTTAATGAGATCCCATTTGTCAATTTTGGCTTTTGTTGCCATTGCTTTTGGTGTTTTAGACATGAAGTCCTTGCGCATGCCTATGTCCTGAATGGTAATGCCTAGGTTTTCTTCTAGGGTTTTTATGGTTTTAGGTCTAACGTTCAAGTCTTTAATCCACCTTGAATTGATTTTTGTATAAGGTGTAAGGAAGGGATCCAGTTTCAGCTTTCTACATATGGCTAGCCAGTTTTCCCAGCACCATTTATTAAATAGGGAATCCTTTCCCCATTGCTTGTTTTTCTCAGGTTTGTCAAAGATCAGATAGTTGTAGATATGTGGCGTTATTTCCGAGGGCTCTGTTCTGTTCCATTGATCTATATCTCTGTTTTGGTACCAGTACCATGCTGTTTTGGTTACTGTAGCCTTGTAGTAAAGTTTGAAGTCAGGTAGTGTGATGCCTCCAGCTTTGTTCTTTTGGCTTAGGATTGACTTGGCGATGTGGGCTCTTTTTTGGTGCCATATGAACTTTAAAGTAGTTTTTTTTCCAATTCTGTGAAGAAAGGCATTGGTAGCTTGATGGGGATGGCATTGAATCTATAAATTACCTTGGGCAGTATGGCCATTTTCACGATATTGATTTTTCCTACCCATGAGCATGGAATGTTCTTCCATTGGTTTGTATCCTCTTTTATTTCATTGAGCAGTGGTTTGTAGTTCTCCTTGAAGAGGTCCTTCACGTCCCTTGTAAGTTGGATTCCTAGGTATTTTATTCTCTTTGAAGCAATTGTGAATGGGAGTTCACTCATGATTTGGCTCTCTGTTTGTCTGTTATTGGTGTATAAGAATGCTTGTGATTTTTGTACATTGATTTTGTATCCTGAGATTTTGCTGAAGTTGCTTATCAGCTTAAGGAGATTTTGGGCTGAGACAATGGGGTTTTCTAGATATACAATCATGTCGTCTGCAAACAGGGACAATTTGACTTCCTCTTTTCCTAATTGAATATCCTTTATTTCCTTCTCCTGCCTAATTTCCCTGGCCAGAACTTCCAACACTATGTTGAATAGGAGTGGTGAGAGAGGGCATACCTGTCTTGTGCCAGTTTTCAAAGGGAATGCTTCCAGTTTTTGTCCATTCAGTATGATATTGGCTGTGGGTTTGTCATAGATAGCTCTTATTATTTTGAGATACGTCCCATCAATACCTAATTTATTGAGAGTTTTTAGCATGAAGGGGTTGTTGAATTTTGTCAAAGGCCTTTTCTGCATCTATTGAGATAATCATGTGGTTTTTGTCTTTGGTTCTGTTTATATGCTGGATTACATTTATTGATTTGTGTATATTGAACCAGCCTTGCATCCCAGGGATGAAGCCCATTTGATCATGGTGGATAAGCTTTTTAGAATGGCAATCATTAAAAAGTCAGGAAACAACAGGTACTGGAGAGGATGTGGAGAAATAGGAACACTTTTACACTGTTGGTGGGACTGTATACTAGTTCAACCATTGTGGAAGTCAGTGTGGCGATTCCTCAGGGATCTAGAACTAGAAATACCATTTGACCCAGCAATCCCATTACTGGGTATATACCCAAAGGACTATAAATCATGCTGCTATAAAGACACATGCACACGTATGTTTATTGCGGCACTGTTCACAATAGCAAAGACTTGGAACCAACCCAAATGTCCAACAATGATAGACTGGATTAAAAAAATGTGCACATATACACCATGGAATACTATGCAGCCATAAAAAATGATGAGTTCATGTCCTTTGTAGGGACATGGATGAAATTGGAAATCATCATTCTCAGTAAACTATTGCAAGAACAAAAAACCAAACACCGCATATTCTCACTCATAGGTGGGAATTGAACAATGAGAACACATGGACACAGGAAGGGGAACATCACACTCTGGGGACTGTTGTGGGGTAGGGGGAGGGGGGAGGGATAGCACTGGGAGATATACCTAATGCTAGATGACGAGTTAGTGGGTGCAGAGCACCAGCATGGCACATGTATACATATGTAACTAACCTGCACATTGTGCACATGTACCCTAAAACTTAAAGTATAATAATAATAAAAAAAACAGCAATATACTTGGTATACCAACAGAACTTACATTTTTTCATTTTTGACTGCTGCATTGGTGCTCAAAGCTGGGTGGCATAGACATGGCTATCTATCTGGTAATATCACTTCTCACATATTTGGAGATATCTGAACAAGGAACGTCTAGACTTCATATCTCTAAATTTTTCATTCAAAATATTTCACGACTTTGGACAAAGAATTTTGATTACTTCATTTACACTTGAATATAAATGAGAATCAGGATTTTTTTCAATGAGAAGTTGATGAAGATGAGAGTATGAGAACTGCAGGTTCCAGCGACACTGTATTTTGCTGATACGCAAATGATAAAATAGTTCTTTTTTATTTCAGTTTGGCTAGCTTAAGTAGTCAAATTCTTACTAAGTATTCAATGATAACTTCTTCTTGCATCCTTTTTCTCAATAAAGTCAACATTTTTATTTATATACTATATAAAATATACTATATAAATATAATATACTATATAAAATATACTATATAAATATAATATACTATATAAAATATATAGTATATTACGGTTAATAAGTAAACCTCATCTCTTCAACTGAAAAACATGTGAAACGTTAATAAACTTTAAATTAGTCACTAAATTTCACTTCTGAAATAGCTGTTATCAGTTCCTACAATTATTCATGGTCTTATTGAGTCTCTGATAGGACCTGGGCCATACCATTTATTTTATATGGTGATATATTTCATATTTAATTAAACTAATTCTTGGGAATTGAATGACTTAAGATACACTGCACAATTTTACATTTGTCCCTTGGTGATAAGGCAATATTTTCCCAAGTTTTTTAAAGTTTTATTTGTAAAAACAAAGCACAAGAATTTCATATGGTTTTTCATACAAAGCTAAGAATTGGGCTAGTGGCAAGCTTTTTTTTCACTGCTACTTGAAAAACCCTTAAAATATTGAAATGTCTACAAAAGCAATAAAATGATCACAGGATTATATGGTGATATTTAATTTTTGTACAAGTTAAATATCACTGAGAATTAACTGTTAGAAGTTTATTCTGAAGTGACATTTTCCTGGAATACCAGACCTTTACAACATAATTAAAGGTTTTCTCATTGTAATAGTGCCATGTTGCTGATATGAAAGCTCTTTAAAATTGTGATTCTATTTTATGTTATTATACATATATAATAATATGTAAGCCATTTATTTTTGTTGTGTTCTTATGAAATCATTTTCCCATGAGTTTAGGTAGTAATATTGTCTTTCCTTGAATAGTATAAAAGAATTAGTAGGGGAAATGAGTGTTGGAAAGTATTTTGAGCAGCCAATCTGTATATTTGAAAATAAAAATGATCATTTCACTCATTCTTCAATGGGAAGTATAATCACTCACCATTACAGTATTTATAAGACAATATTTATCTCTACCGTAATAGGATGTATAGTATGAAAAAAAATAGTACTATTTTTCTCTTCTGTAGCAATAGCTTTGTTTCAACAGGCCTCCTCCTTCCCTAATTAGCTATTTCCACATATTTCTGTTGCCAGAAATTTCTTTATGAAGGTGTTAGTTTTGGATTAGTTGCAAGGTTTAAGACATGATAAAACGCCACAGAATTCATATCATGGTTGTAAAAGAAATACATCGAGACTCCAAAAGGAGAAGAAATTAGGATGAAGCAGGTGGATGCTTAAAATATGAGTTGCCTGAAAATGAGGTGTAGAAGAACAAAGAACACAAAGACCTACATCTCTCCTTTCACTATTTTAGATAATATCTGTAAATGTATTTTTCTATTTTTCCTTAGGTGTCATTATCAAGGAACAAAGAACTATGACTGGAAATGGATTTACTTCCCTCAGTATTATCACTGTTCATTGACACTGAGGCACATATTTATTTTTTCATTTAAAATTTCTGAAATAGGGATCTATTTTACATTTTATTATTATGTATTCTCAATATAATCTTACATTGGATGAATGTGATAAAAATGATAAATGTAATTCATTTTTCAGTGTCAAGCTAGTATAGTTTAGTTAAAATAGAAATAACTTTTAATCCAAGAGTATCTGCCAATACTGTACATTGAGCTTCCCGCTCAGCAAAGTAGAAAACAGAAGAATATATATAAACACCTCAAAGAGAAAGGTTAAAAAGAGTAAGATAGGATCATGAGATATTCCAAATGCAGCAAGGAGGTCTAACATATGTTTAATTGAAATCCTAGTAGGAGAAGAAAGAGAACAAGATTTATGAAATAGTTGACTAGAAGATGGCTAGCAATTTTCCAGAAATGATGAAAGACCCTAACTACAGATGAACAGGGTCCAATATATCTAAGACATGATGAATGAAAAAGATATCACCTAGAAAATCATATTAAAACACCAAAAACCCAGTGACAAACAGAAAATTGTAAAAGTCTTTGGAGAAACAGACATACTACTTTCTTTTTTAATTAATTAATTAATTTATTATGCTTTAAGTTCTGGGATACATGGGCAGAACGTGCAGGTTTGTTACATAGGTATACATGTGCCATGGTGGTTTGCTGCACCCATTAACCCATCATCTACACTAGGTATTTCTCCTAATGTTATCCCTCCCCTGGCCCCCCAACCCCTGACAGGCCACAAGGTGTGATGTTCCCCTCCCCGTGGCCAAGTGTTCTCATTGTTCAACTCCCACCTATGAGTGAGAATATGTGATGTTTGGTTTTCTATTCTTGTGTTAGTTTGCTGAGAATGATGGTTTCCAGCTTGATCCATGTCTCTGCAAAGGACATGAACTCATCCTTTTTTATGACTGCATAGTATTCCATGGTGTATATGTGCCATGTTTTCTTTATCCAGTCTATCATTGATGGGCATTTGGGTTGGTTCCAAGTCTTTGCTATTGTGAACAGTGCCGCAATAAACATATGTGCACATGTGTCTTTATAGTAGCATGATTTATAATCCTTTGGGTATATACCCAGTAATGGGATTGCTGGGTCAAATGGTATTTCTGGTTCTAGATCCTTGAGGAATTGCCACACTGTCTTCGACAATGGTTGAACTAATTTACACTCCTACCAATAGCCTAAAAGTATTCCTATTTCACCACATCCTCTCTAGCATCTGTTGTGTCCTGACTTTTTAATGATGGCCATTCTAACAGGCGTGAGATGGTATCTCATTGTGGTTTTGATTTGCATTTCTCTGATGACCAGTGATGATGAGCTTTTTTTCATATGTTTGTTGGCTGCATAAATGTCTTCTTTTGAGAAGTGCCTGTTCATATGCTTTGCCCAATTTTTGATGAGGTTGTTTAATTTTTTCTTGTAAATTTGTTTAAGTTCTTTGTAGATTCTCGATATTAGCCCTTAGTCAGATGGATAGATTGCAAAAATTGTATCCCATTCTGTAGGTTGCCTGTTCACTCTGAGATAGTTTCTTTTGCTGTGCAGAAGCTCTTTAGTTTAATTAGATCCATTTGTCAATTTTGGCTTTTGTTGCCATTACTTTTGGTGTTTTAGTCATGGAGTCTTTGCTCATGCCTATATCCTGAATGGTATTGCCTAGGTTTTCTTCTAGGGTCTTTTATGGTTTTAGGTTTCACATTTAAGTCTTTAATCCACTTTGATTTAATTTTTGTATAAGGTGTAAGGAAGGGCTCCAGTTTCAGTTTTCTGCATATGGCTAGCCAGTTTTCCCAACACCATTTATTAAATAGGGAAACCTTTCCCCATTGCTTGTTTTTGTCAGGTTTGTCAAAGATCAGATGGTTGTAGATGTGTGGTGTTATTTCTGAGGGCTCTGTTCTGTTCCATTGGTCTATATGCCTGTTTTGGTATCAGTACCATGCTGTTTTGGTTACTGTAGCCTTGTAGTAGTTTGAAGTCAGGTGGTGTGATGCCTCCAGCTTTGTTCTTTTTGCTTAGGATTGTCTTGGCTATACGGGCTCTTTTTTGGTTCCATATGAAATTTAAGGTAGTTTTTTTCTAATTTTGTGAAGAAAGTCAATTGTAGTTTGATTGGAATAGCATTGAATCTATAAATTACTTTGGGCAGTATGGCCATTTTCACAATATTGATTTTTCCTATCCATGAGCATGGAATGTTTTTCCATTTGTTTGTGTCCTCTCTTATTTCCTTGAGCAGTGATTTCTAGTTCTTATTTTAAAGTCCTGTCTGATAATCTCAGTGCTCAGATTTTTAGGAGTTAATTCATTTCCATTAAATGTAATAATTGATATGAGTGGATTTATATCTGCTCTTTGTTATTTTTTGTATTTTTAGTAGAGACCATGTTCAGCCATGTTGGCCATGCTGGTCTTGAACTCCTGACTTCAGGTGATCCACCTGCCTCAGCCTCCCAAAGTGCTGGGATTACAGGTGTGAGCCACTGCACCTACTGTATATGTGATATTCTAAATCCTTTGTTTTCACTTCAACTGTGTTCACAGGACTTTCACCAGGGGTAGGTTCTATGTCAGTAATTCTGTTTCCATTTATACAGTACAAACAGTAGATTAGCATAATTTTTAAGGGCCCTAGGATTTTCAGAATGGTAAATGAACACTGGCTTCCACCTAAGATAACAAGGGGCATTAACCCCTAATAAGACAGTCAGCCTGTCCTCTGAAGCATTTTAGCCAGGTATTGACTTCTCCTCTCTAGCTATGAAAGTCCTAGGTGGCACCTTTTTCCAATAGAAGGATGTTTCATCTACATTGAATATCTATTGTCAGTCCAGCCACCTTGTCTTAGCTAGATCTCCCAGATAGCTTGCTGCAGCTTCTGTGACAACACTTGCTCCTTCACCTTGCACTTTTATGTTATAGAGATGGCTTCTTTCCTTCATCCTCATGAATCAAACTTTGCCAGCTTCTAACTTACCTTCTCCAGCTTCCTCACCTCTCTCAGCCTTCATAGAATTGAAAAAAAGTCAGGACGTTGCTGTGGATTAGGCTTTGGTTTAAGGGAGTTCTGTGGCCGCTTTGTTCTTTTATCCAGACCACTCAAACTTTCTCCATGTCAGCAATAAGTCTGTTTTGCTCTCTTATCATTCATGTGTTCACAAGAACAGCACTTTTAATTTTCTTCAGAACTTGTTTTCATTCACAATTGGCTGTTGTCTGCAAGAAGCCTAGCTCTCGGCCTATCTCAGCTTTCAACGTGCCTTTCTTAGTGAGCTTAACCATTTCTAGTATTTGATTTAAAGTGAGAGACATGTGACTTTTCCTTTCCCTTTGACACTTCAAGACTGCTGTAGGGTTATTAATTTGCCTAATTTTAATATTGTTGTGTCTCAAGGAACAGGGAGGCCCCAGGAGAAAGAGAGAGAGAGAGAGAGAGATGGGGGAAAGGCTGATGGTGGAGCTATCAAAACACACACATTTATTGATTAAGTTCACTCTCTGTTATGGGCATTGTTTGTAGCACCCCAAAATAATGACAATAGTAACATCAAAGGTTGCTGATTACAGACCACCTTATTGGATATAAAATAATATCGAAAAAGTTTGAAATATGGTAAGAATTACCAAAATGGGACCAGCGATATGAAGTGAAAACATGCTGTTGAAAACATGGTGCTCACAGATGTGCTCAATGCAGGGTTCCTACAAATCTTCAGTTTGTAAAACATGCAACATCTATGAAGCACAACAAAGCAAAGTACAATAAAATGAGGTATGGCTGTATGTAGCTTACACGCACAGTAACAATGCATTTCTATTACTTTACTTCTAAAATAGACAGATTTACACACAGAGTCATTGGCACAGAGTCACTGGCACAGAGCCACTGTCAAAATGTTTATACCTCTTTTACAGAGAATTTATCAAATGGCAGAAAGAAAATCGGAGCTCCGAAAAATCCACCAAATGAACAGTCACACAAGTTGCCTGAGAAGAACATGCTCAGTTACTTTTTTGAAGTTTCATATCCCATAAATAATAACCCAGGAGGGTCAGATAGAGAGGATTAGGAATGTCATCTTAGTGAACAGTCATCCACATGAACACACAAAGCCAGTGGAAAGGGTGGTCCCCCTAATTAGCCTAATTAGGCTTAGGTATCCCCTCAAGCCTAATTTTCTGGGATAAACCCAATTTTATCATGACGTATATTAATATACTGTTGGGTTTTGTTAATTTACACATCTTTAGAATTTTTAAGTAGTCATATTTGAAGCTAACCTATATTTAGGTTATATTTAACCTATATTTTAATATTTACCTTATGTGGTTTTTTAATCTGTAAAAGTCTAATTCCCTTAGTTGGAAACACTTGTTCTCTTTTATTTTAAATTTTGAAAAATCTAAATACTATGAAGATATTATACTCTTTTGTTAACTATTATACTGCTCTACAAAATTATCTGGGCCTAAAATTTGTTTATGAGACACATTTTTATTTTTATTTTTATTCATTTTTCTTTAATCATTTCTAGTTTTTGATTTAAAGTGAGAGGCATGTGACTCTTCCTTTCCCTTGAACACACAGAGACTGTTGTAGGATTATTAATTTGGCTAATTTTAATATTATTGTGTCTCAGGGAATAGGGAGGCCCCAGGAGAGAGAGAGAGACAGAGAGAGAGAGACAGAGAGGATTGGGAAAGGCTGATGGTGAAGCTGTGAAAATACACACATTTATTAAGTTCACTGCCTGTTATGAGCATTGTTTGTGGTACCTCAAAATAATGACTACTCATTATAATCTATATAATGAGTTATATACATTTTCAATTATTGCTTATACAAATATTTTTATCCTTTCACCTAAGTTTCTAGAGAAGCTCTCACCTAAATATCCAGAGAAACAGACAAATCCAAAGTCACAGCTGAGATCTGCTTACCTGGGACAGATTTCATTGCACCCACGAATGGGTAGGAACACTAAGATGATAGTTTTGATGAATTACTGCAGGGCGACGGTTAACTGATAAGAAGGAGAAGCTCCTGGCAGGACAAGGTCATAGGAAGATTCCACACTTTCATAGGTTTTATTTTGAGAAACCCAACCAGGTTCTAATGGTAAAGATCCAAGAATGTTTATTTCATGGATCTTGCAGAAGAGGAGAAGAATAATCACTGTGGTTATGCCCCAGGCATTCTCCATAACAAAGACCTATTCTTCAGAGGAAAAGATATAGGAGAGCCTTATCCCAGTAAGTAAGGGTTAAGGGCTAACCCATTCCTGCCACAAAAGCTATAGCAATGAAATAACATTTGTGAATGTCATAACCAAGAGACAGACGGAATCATAGGAATACAGTATACTTTCCCTCCCTCACACCTGACCAACACATCACTAAGGCTTCAGTATGATCATAATGGATTACAGGTGAAAAAGCTGGAAGACAGTAACATAAAGACACAGAGGAAACTGAGGCCTCTGGCACCTAGAGCTCCACCAAACATCATACACAATCTAAATCCTAGAAATTAACATAAACTTTCACATTAAAGGACTGCTTACCTTCATTACAAAAACATGACACATCATGTCCAGTTTGTAACAAGAAATTACAGCACTTGCTAGAAACGAGAAGGAAAAATACAATCTAAATTAATAAAACAAACACCAGAATGAGACACAGGTAAGACACAGATATTGGAAATAGCAGAGAAGGAATTTAAAATAATTATGATTAATATAGTAAGGCTAACAGAAAAAGTAGACAACAAGGATGAACAATGGATAATGTGAATCGAGATAGAAACTTTAAGAATAAAAAGGAAATGCTAGAAATAAAAACACAGTGGTAGAAATGAAGACTGCCTTTGCTGTGCTCCTCTGCTGGTAGACTGTAGCTCCAGCAAACATACTAAAGGGGGAATCAATGACCTAAAATATATGCCAATAAACACTTCCCAAATTGAAATGCAACAGGATGAAAGAATTTTAAAAATCCAGGACACACCCAAGAACTGTGAAAAACTTCAGAATTTAAACATACGTGCACTGGAAATACCAGAGAAGAAATAGCGAGAAGAGGGCAGGAAGGAAGACTTAAAGTATTAACAGCCAACTATTTTCCAAAATTACAGACCCAAGGAACTCAGACAACATTAGGCACCAAGCAGAATTTAAAATAAATAACTAAAAAAACCTTCCCCCTCGCCCTGTTGTATTCAAACTACAGAAAACCAAAGACAAGGAGTAAATCTTAAAAGAAGCCCAGGGGAACATTATCTATAGAGGACAAAGAATATGTTGGACTTATTACCAGAAACCATGCAGTCAAGAAGAGAGCAAAGTGAAATATTAAATTGTTGTAAGAAAAAGAAAAGACAACAACATAGACTTCTGTATCCAGAAAATAATCATTTTTCAGAAGTCAAGGAATAATAAAGATATTATGTGACAAACAAAAAGTCAGGGGCTCTATTACCATCAGATCTTCCTTGAGGGAAATATTCAGATAATTATTTAATGGAGTTCTTCAAGCATTGAAAAATAATCAGAAAATAAGTCAGAAAATTAGTTTCTTAGTCCATTTCAGCTGCTATAACCAACTACCATAAGCTGTGTAGCTTACAAAAAACATTATTTCTCACACTTCTGAAGTCTGGGACATCCAAATTCAAGGTGCCCACCGATTTGGTGTCTGGTGAAAGCCTGCTTTCTATTTCATAGATGGCAATTTCTAGCTGTATCTTCACAAGGGGGAAGGAGGAAGGAGCCTCCTTGGCCTATTTTATAAGGGTAAAAACCCCATTCATGAGAGCGCTGCCGTCATGACCCGATTACCTTCCCAAAGTCCCCTCTGCCTAATACTATCACCTTGGAGGTTAGGATTTTAACATACAAATTTTGAGGGAACGTAAACATTTAGACCACACAGATTTATATAAATAAATAAATAGAAGACTGTTGGAGAAGAAATGAATGAGGAAAAAATAAAGTATTTTGTTTTCCTAAATCTTAATTCATCTGAACCCTTTTTTTAAAAAGTCATAATAACAACTATATATTGTGTGACTACTGCATCTGGAAAAGGGAAATTAGAGACAGCAATGTCATAATGGATGGGAATAACTGGGAATTCTCCATGAAAATGATGGAAACGTGAAACCTTATATCGTTACTTTAAAGTGGACTTAGATGACTTAACAATGTCTATTAGAACCTCATGGGCAAACACTAACAAATTTTTTAAAGGAACAATTGATATGCTATGAGAGGGGTTAAATTAGAGCATATGAGATATTCACTTAAAACCAGGGAAAGCAGAAAAGGAGGAAAAGAGAAAAACAGAGGACAAGTGTAATGATGTAACAAAAAGAAAACAGTTAAAGACATGAAAGATATTAAACCAAATATATCGATAAGAAGTTTTAATGTGAATGTTTAAATATACCAATTTAATGCCTGTAATCTCAGCACTTTGGGAGGCCAAGGCGGGTGGATCTCAAGGTCAGGAGACCGAGACCAGCCTGGCCAACATGGTGAAATCCCGTCTCTACTAAAAATACAAAAATTAGCTGGGTGTGGTGGCACGCGCCTGTAGTCCTAGCTGCTCGGGAGGCTGAGGCAGGAGAATCACTTGAACCTGGAAGGCAGAGGTTGCAGTGGGTTGAGATCGTGCTACTGAACTCCAGCCTGGTGACAGCGTGACTCCGTCTCAAAAAAAAAAAATATATATATATATATATCTTGGACTTGTGTGCTTACATTTCCCTAGAATGTGTCTTGTGCTAGCAATTATCTTTAGCACTCTGAACCCTTTCAATATGATGCTACTTATTTCTTTAGTTTCATATTTTTAAATATTTCTTATCTTCCCTTTTACTCTCTTTACTACTTCAAGCTCCCTGAATGAAACATTACTTTTACTTTACTTTATCATGTCTCTTAACTTGTCTCCCATTCTTTTTATCTTTTCATCTATTTCCGATGTCTTTTGTGAGAGTGTGTTTGATGTAGGTCACTACCTTATTTTTTGAGTATATGCACTCTTCTATTCAGTGCCTCCTATATGTTATTTATTTCATATATTTTGACATTTATACTTTTTATATCCATTTCACTTCTTTTTTCAGTTCAGTTCTGCTTAGTATTTGTAATAACTTTTATCTTTTTGATAAGATTTATCATGCTACTTTAGATTCTTTCTTTTTAAAAAATTTTTTGAGACAGCGTCTTGCTCTGTTGCCCAAGCTGGAGTGCAGTGGCACAATCATGGCTCACTGCAGCCTTGACCTCCTGAGTTCAAGCTATCCTTCCACCTCAGCTTCCTGAATAGCTGGAGCTACAGGTGTGGGCCACTATGCCTGGCTTGTTTTGTAACTTAAAGATGAGGTTCTCACTGCATTACCTAGGCAGGTGTTGAACTCCTGGCTTCAGGTCATCTTCCCACTAGGGCCTCCCAAAGTGTTGAGATTATAGGCATGAGCCATGGCACCCAGCTAGATTCCTGTTTTATTTTATGTATTCTGGTTACCCTGGCAGGGGCAACCCCACTTGTGATCTTTGCTTTATCGTGCATAAACCCTGCAGTTACACTGCACATTTTCTTTATAAACCTTTCTTCTCTTAGGCCCCCGAGCTGCCCTGGAAATCAATGTTTTCTCTTGGCTTTCAAGAATGGATGTGGTAGAAGGGAGTCTGACTCCAGGCTGAAAGAGTTAATTTCGGCCGGGCGCGGTGGCTCACGCCTGTAATCCCAGCACTTTGGGAGGCCGAGGCGGGCGGATCACAAGGTCAGGAGATCGAGACCATCCCGGCTAAAACGGTGAAACCCCGTCTCTACTAAAAATACAAAAAATTAGCCGGGCGTAGTGGCGGGCGCCTGTAGTCCCAGCTACTTGGGAGGCTGAGGCAGGAGAATGGCGTGAACCCGGGAGGCGGAGCTTGCAGTGAGCCGAGATCCCGCCACTGCACTCCAGCCTGGGCGACAGAGCGAGACTCCTTTTCAAAAAAAAAAAAAAAAAAAAAAAAAAAGAGTTAATTTCTATTCACCCACTCTTCAGGTTACCCCATCCTCTTTGATCAAAGAATGGCTTTTGGGACTCTTCCCAAGACACAAACGACTTTTTGATGTGGCTGTGAGACCTATTTTTGAAAAGAGCCTGCATGTCTGAAATGCCGAAGAAGGCAGGAGGGTACTGTCAGGGTCAGTCAATCCACCTGCCTGTGGCCATAAGCACTGCCCTCCTGCAGGCTGCGGATGGTGCGCCTCTGAGGTTGCTTTCATTTTTAGGTGGTGTTGTTGCCTCCCTTCTCCCTGGTGGCAAAGCAGCAGGCAATTATTTACTGAAGACAATGTGGAAGAGAGGCAGGGTATATACAGAATGTTCTTTCTCAGGCTATTTGGACCCAACCTGCTGACTCACAGTGTGTCACGTTTGTGTGTGTGTGTTAATCACTAAGCTTGGTGCCAGCTCTTCCACCCTTTATATACCACCCTTCTGTCTGAAACAGGAAGTCATCTTCCTATTTTTTTTTTTCTTTTGGTCCACCTGTTTATCACTCAAATCAATTTCTCTTCTTCCACCTGCTTAACTTTCTCTCAAATACATATTTTTAAATCACTGTTGGTGGATACAAGGATTATTGCAGCTGAGTGATTGGATGATCTTTTATTTTGCTCTTTCTTTTATGGACAGAAGCCAAACCACTGAAATGAATGATCAGAATAAAACTTAGAGCTTGTTACAATGTGCTTTGAAGAGCAAAGTCATGATAATTAGCTATCTGTGAGTCCTGAGAATTCTAGATTAATTGCAGGATTTTAAAACTTATTTTTAAGTTCCAACTGTCACTTTTATCAGTTCCAGCTATTTCAGTGGATACAGAGCTCACATTCAGATGGTGTGCTCATCAGCCTTCTATTGGTTTACATTAAATAGTTTGCTCTCACAGGCACCTCTCTTTAAAGCATTTTATAAATGCTAATTAATTGCCAGGCCCTCAGGAATTGTTCAACATCATCATTTTCATCATACACATTAGGAAACCAATATACAATGAGGTTCGAATGCTCAATGAAGACCTCATAGTAGTTGGTAGCAAAGGACAAAGTAGAAATCTCCCAGATTTTAATTTCTTAGCTCAAAATTTTAAAACCATTATCTAGTTCAGTAATTGAACAAGCATTGTGTGTCTTTTGTCACAGTATTCTTGGAAATTGGAGATGTTCATGCTTATTGACAGATATCTTGGCATCCTGGTTGCCACTGGGGTCTAACTAGGCTACCTAATCAAACACTTCATTTGAACGGAAATTCTCATATACAACAGCTGACTTGTTCTAAGGCTGGTCATCATGTTATTATCCTCCAGTTCCATCACCTTTGTCACCAGCCTTGCCTTTTATTGATTCTGAGACCAATTGCTATTCACATACATGACTGAAAGTCCTGTACCTGGGTGTAAGTATGACCTTTTTGGTAACCTGTGTATCTGAGCATGGTCTTAGGTCATGGAACAAACTGCTTCTGTCTGTTAGAGCCATTTGTCTAGTATCTCTAGGGGAAAGAAGAAGAACCATAGTTATTCTAAGCTAGGGCTGTGGAATATTCTGTTAAAGAAAAGCAAACACAATAAAAGTGCATTTCAGGGTTTTAGAACAATTTTTACTCAGAAATGATAGCATGAATATCATTTTAAAAAATCTTTCTCTGTCACTGTAACTGAAAACCTGCCTTAGTACTTTTATTTAACAACTTTTATATGTTTATTTTAGCAAGGAATTTTAAAAGAAACTAGCTATGTTTACTTTTGCTTTTGGCAATAGTTTCAAATGCTTTATTTTGTAAGGCCCTATTACCAATTCACACATTTCTGTAACTCATCATCATAACATTATTCCTAATAAAGCCAGAATAAATACTTATTAACACTCAAAGCAGTAATTGCTATAAATTTCACATGCATAATGGTTTTAGTCCACCAATGTAGGAAGATCGACTAATATAATAAGGAGAAAAGGGAGCAGAAAATTATAATGTGAAAATACTGAGAACAATAGATTAAAGGACACAGCACCAAATTAGGGGTGTTACAAATAGTCTCACAATGAAAGAATAAAGGATATTGTGATGTAAAATGTCTAGGAGAGAATGATGCATGGATACATTAGAAGCCCAGAAAGCTTTAAAAATACCAGGACTTGCTTTGTAAAATGTGTTAGCGTTTGTGTATGAATTGGTCTTCCAATGTTGTCTATTTCCTATAACAGAGTTTAGCAAACCTTAAATGATTGAGTTGAATAGGAAGAGACCGTTTGTGCCAAAAATGCTCATATACCTTCAAGACTCCAACTTATTTCATCATTCTGATGACAATCACATTATTATAACATTTTTTTCTTCCAGTATTCAATATAAATCAATGACACTTAGGACTAGTTATAGGGCTAAAGCAGTGGTTCTTTACCTTCACCTGTCCATTTCTCCATTACCCCATCAACAAGTACATCGACTGCACACCATGTAACGAGTGAGCTACTAAATCCCATGGAGAGAAAGAAAAATATGATCCCTTCACTGAAAATTTTTAAAGAGAAAAGACAAAATTTACATTAAAATAGCTAGTGATAAATACTGTTGACCCTTAAACAAAGCAGAGCTGAACTGCACGGATCCATTTCTGTGTGGATCTTCTTCCATCTCTGCCACCCCGGAGACAGCAAGACCAACCCTTCCTCTTCTTCCTCTTCCTCAGCCCACTCAATGTAAAAAAAGGATGAAGACCTTTAGAATGATCTGCTTCCACTTAATGAATAGTAAATATATTTTCCTTATAACTTTCTAAATAACATTTTCTTTAGTTTACGTTATTGTAACAGTACAGTATATAATACACGTAACATACAAAATATGTGTTAATCATATGTTTGTTATCTGTAAGGTCAATAGCAGGCTATTAGTAGTTACGTTTTTGAAAAGTCAAAAGTTACATGTGAATTTTCAGCTGTAAGGGGGCATTGGCACCTCTAATCCCTGCATTATTCAAGGGTCAATTGGACATCTTAAACTCTAAGATACTGATGAGACAAGAAAATAAAATTTGAGAATGAAAAATAATTCTAAACTCCTTTGTATTTTGAAATGTGATCTTACTTGGTAATAGGGTAATTGCAGGTGTAATTAGTTGAAGTGAGATTATGCTGGACTAAGGTAGACCTCTATTTCAATTTGCTGTCCTTATAAGAAGATGATCATGTGAAGACAAAACATTGGAATGAGGACTCTAGAAGCCAAGGAATGCCTGGGACTCACAGCTCTTAGGCAGAACCAACCCTGCTGAAAGGTTGATTTTGGGTTTCTAGCCTCCAGAGCTGTAAGACAGTAAATTTCTGTTGTCTTAAGCCACCCAGCTTGTGGTATTTTGTTAGGACAGCCCTCAGAAACTAATACAAAGAGTAAAACTATGTTTATTATTTATGAATAAAATCCTACAAAATCTACAAAAAAGGTTCTAGAAAACATTTAGACTAGTCAACTAGTAGAATACAATGTCAATAAATTGCATTTGTGTATACTTGCAATGAAAGATCAGAAACTGATGTTTAAAGATACCATTTACAATAGCATCCATAACTATTAAACACATAGAGATAAATTATCAAGCTATATATGTGATCTCTTCACTGACAACAAAACATTGCTGAGAGGTATTAATTAAATGATAAATTAATATAGAGATATGCCATGTTATGGATTGGGAGACCAAATATTAAAGCACCAAATCCATAGATTCAAAATCATCCCAATCAATTGCAATGAGCTTTTTTAAAAAAATAAATTGACAGCCTGATTCTAAACACATATTGAAAATTAAAAGACAGAAAAATATTTAAAAGAATGAAGAGGGAGGACTTAAACTATGTGATTTCAAGATTTTCTATAAAGTAACAATAAATACAACAGTGTGATATGAGAATAAGATAGATGAATAGATCAATGGAACAGAATAGAAAGTCCAGGAACAGACCCACCCATATATTTGATTTTCAACAAAAGTACCCAGGCAATTCAATGAGAAAAGAGTAATCCTTCAACAAATAATGCTGGGAAAACCGAATAATCATAGGCAGAAAAGTAATCAAGACTTATTACTTACCTAAAAACATATAATAATTATTTTCAAGATCCTATTTCTAAATATGAGAGCTAGAACTGTAAAACATCTAGAAAAATCATATGAGAAATTACTTGGAACATTGTATTAGGCATTGTACTTAGATGTATTTCTTTTAGAGAAAATGTGATAAAATTTACTTTATCAAATTTAAATTATTTTCTATTTTCAAAAGAAACTGCTAAGACAGTAAAAGACCCAAGCCATAGACAGAGAGAAATTATTCATGGAATATATACTGATAAAGAGACATGTTTCTAGATATATAACAGACTATTATATTTATGTATATTAATACTAGCATTGTCAAGAGACTTCAATAGACCCATCATCAAAGAAATAAATGAATGGCAAATATCATAGGGAAAACGTTCAACATCATTGGTCATAAGAAAAATGCAAATTTAAGCCACAGTGAGCCTCTACATACCTACTAGAACGACAAAAACTATAAAGGCTAACCACATCAAGCACTGGTGAGGACACAGTAGAGCTGTAACACTCAATCACTCCTAGGATGAACGCAAAATCATGCAACCACTTTGGAAGACAATTGGATGTTATCATAATGTTAAACATGCATTTATCATATGACACAGCCGCACAACTCCACAGATGAAAATGTTTATCTTTACAAAGACTCACACATGAATGTTCAATGGTACTTTGTAACAGCCTTAAACTAGAAAGTTTTCAAATGCCCACCAACTGAGGGGTGGCAAAAAAAAAAAAAAACATGGTATATGCATATAATGAAATATGAATATCCATGAAAAGGAAAGAACAACTCATCTACGCCACAATATAGATTAATCTTGAATATGCTAAGTAAAGAAGACGGTCATAAAACTCTACAAACTATTTGATTTCATTTAGATGAAATTCTTGAAAAGGCAAAACTGTAGTGAGTGACCACTGATCAGTGTTTGCTATGGTCTGGGAGTTGGGGGAGGTGATTGACAATAAAAGAGAGTTTGGGGGGGTGATATATACATTTTATATTGTGATTGTGCTGGGTGTTGGGAGAGTTTACAACTGTCAGAATTCATATGATGCACTTAAAATTAGTGAATTTTATAGCTCATAAATTAGACATTGATAGAACCCAGCAAAAAAAAAAAAAAAAAAAATAGAAAAGATTGTCCTTTACATTTTTGTTTTAAGTACATATTTATTTTTATAACATTTTATTTGGATTTTTATTTTTTCTTTAAGGTAGCCTCCTTATTGCATAAACATCTAGGCACAGAGCATTTGGTCAAATACCAAACAAAAAAGTGTATTGCTCTTATTAGAATCACATAGTATAGTAAATACCTATCATGTTACAGTATAAATACATTAAAATGTCAGGTAGTGATAAGTACTATAAAAAATAAAACTGTGTAAGATGATAGAGATTAGCCTCTCTGATCAGAGAAATCCTCTCTGAAAACCTATTTGTATAAAATCTTGAATGAATGGAGGGATAAGTTATGAGGCTACACAGGCTCTTGGACTAGCAAATGTGAAAGGTCTGTGTTAAGAAGTTGCTATGATCTGAATGTTTGTGTGCACCTAAAATTCATATGTTGAAATCAAATCACCAATGTCATGGTACTAGGAAGAGGGCCCTTTAAGAGGTAATTAGGTCATGAGGATGGAATCCTCATTAATGGACTAGTGCCCTTCTATGAAGAGGACACAGAGCTAGCTAATCCCTTCCCACCATGTGAGCACTCAGCAGGAAGTCATCATCTATGAACCAAGAAGCTGGCTTGCACCAGACACAGAATCTGCTGGTGCCTTGATCTTGGAATCCCCATCCTCTGGAACTGTAATAAATAAATTTATGTTGTTTATAAGCCATCCAGTTTATGCTGTTCTATTTAGCAGCCTAAACAGACTAAGGCAGATGTAGTTGACATGTTCAAGGGATATTAAAAAAGGTTGTATGGCTTGAGTAAAGTAAGGGAGGGCGGGTAGGGTTAAAACAAAAAGAACCTGGAGAGATGAGCAGGGATTATATTGCCTTAGTGAACTGGTTTTTTCTAAGTATGATGCGAAGCCATTGCATGTTTTGAAAAAAGAAGTAACAGGATCTACTTTAGCTGAGACCATATATGGAGTAAAAGATCTGCGAAAGCTAAGCACAGACATACAGAAGTCACTGAAGAGGCTACAGCACTAGTCAAAGGGAGAAATGATGTTGGTATTGCTAAAATGTTAGCAGTGGAGGTGGTGAGAAGTAGTAAGATTCAGGATCTATTTTGAAGGTAACACTAATAATTGCTGACGTACCAGATATGGTGGATTGTAAATCACAAAGAGACACCAAATATGGCTTCGTGATCTTTGACCCCAGAAGCAGACAGAAGCCAAGGGCATAGTTCATCAGCACATCTCTCCTTTTTCCTACATCTTCTAAGTCTCCTTCTCAAACATCTTTTCTCTTAGCCTAGTCCCAGGTTTTATATCCCTTCTATTCTAAAAGAAACGTCTTATAAGTGTGTGCCTGCCACAAAACTTGGCACTGTTCTCAATTTCACACGTAAATAAAACTTTCCCTTTTCCTTTTATTTAAACCACTCAGAAGAGTATTCTACATTCACGTGTTCCATGTTTGCTTGTTTTTCAATTTTCAAATTGAAGTGTACACTTCAATCCACTTATGTCTGATTCTACCTCTACTATTGCTGAATCACCCTAGCTAAATTGTTGGGAGGAAGTCCCAATAAATTTTAAGAGGCTTTTCAGTTTGAGTAGCAAAGTTTAGATAGGTTTTATTAAAAATAGCCCGGCCGGAAGTGGTGATTCACGGCTGTAATCCCAGCACTTTGGAAGGCCGAAGCGGGCAGATCACCCAAGGTAGGTGGATCACCCGAGGTCAGGATTTTGAGACCAGCCTGACCAACACGGAGAAACCCTGTCTCCACCAAAAATACAAAATTAGCCATGTGTAGTGGCGCACGCCTGTAACCACAGCTACTTGGGAGGCTGAGGCAGGAGAATCGCTTGAACCCGGGAGGCAGGGGTTGCGGTGAGCCGAAATTGCCCCATTGCACTACATACAGCCTGGGTAACAAAAGCGCAACTCCATCTCAAAAAAAAAAAAAAAAAAAAAAAAAAAAGCCCAAGAGAAGGAAAGTGCATACTCAACAAATTACATTAAGCTCCACTCAACTTCCTTCTCTTGTCTTCAACTTTTGATTCTTATGGTTTGTTTTGGTCTTATTTTCTGGACTTTGAATGTGGTGCTTCTACCGTTTAAGTGTAACATCTTGATTTCACTTGCACGTGTAATTGCATCTAAAAAAAATCCCGCTAGATCTCTCATTATAACCCTGACTTTGGTTTCACCCTTGCTGTGCCATGTGACTTGTGTGGGGGAAGGTGTAGGGGTGGGTCACAGCTCACAGTATTTGAGGAGATCACAGAAGCAAGTTTTCTGAAGAGATATATGAGGCTAACTTCTTTTCTCCTTCCCTATAACTCAGAAAGAATTGATTTCTCTTTCAGGTAAACAAAAGCTGAAGATACAGCTACGTAAATTGAGCCTCAACAGTTTTTAATGATGAGGTTCCACATTGTTGCTTCTAGCCAGGCATCAGACCTCTCATATCTACTACCAGTCCAAGCTATATGAATTAAGTGAATTGGAAGAAGTAACAATCATTTTCAATTCCAAGATAATTTCCCAGTCAGCATTTATTGATCAATAAATGTCATATTAAACTTTAATTCCTTTAGGGCAACTAATATAAGTTTTAACTATGTCATTTCTCTTTCACATTCATTTCAGTAGGCTTCTGAATATTTACTAAAGTTGATTATCATTCTTAACACAGTGTAAGCCACAGAAGGGAAAACAGAAAACGTAAGAGACTCCCCCTGCTTTACTGATATCCCCAAAGCCTTCCGTTTTTTGTCACGGTTTTCTGGAAAATTAAACTTTCAAAGTTTTACTTTGCTGGGGAAGTTTTTTGGTATCAGCAGCCCTTTTCATCTGTATAATTTTTTTCTGCTTATTTAAATTAAAAGCTTAAGGTGTTGGATTCGTTCAAATCTCCAGTTTGAACCCTTTCATATGTTTTATAGTCACAATTAAGTTTTAATTCATTGGTCTTAGGTCAAGGAGAATGAGAAAGACAAATGTATGACACTGAACTGTAATTCATTATGTAATTTAAAATACTGATACCATTCAGCAATTTTTTATATTCACTATTTAGGTTTGAAATTTTTGTTTTTGACAGTTGTGTTTCAGTTATCAGTGGGATATGCAAGTTGTCTCACATTGAAAATGGGTAATGATAGCTATACCAAGAAATATACAGCAAATGGTGACTGTAGCTGAGGATTTACAGGCAGGCTAAAAACAAGCCTGGATTCACAAGAGATAACGTCTGCAGATGAGTCTCCTTCCAACTCCTTATTCACTGAACACAAACTGAGTTCATTTAATACTTGCCTCTAGTTAATCTCTGCTACCAACGCTTTGAATAAAAGGCATCCTTTAGGTGTCTGGATGTTTGTTATTCGACATCTTAGTCATGCTAAAGGTGGAAATGGGCTCCCGATGACTGTGTATTGACTTTGTGGGTGTTTGCATTTGTGTGTGCATCATGTGTGTGCTTCATCCGGCCAAGGCTACCCCCTTGACCACTGGGGTGATTTATATATACCTTTTAAGAGACTGAAAAAAGTAGAAAATAACAAAAGTGTGATCAACTTGTTCTATCATAATTCAGTAACAACAATAGATAGCAAGATATGTTCATAATTATACTAATCTTCCCTGCCTTTCATGATTTCTCAGTCAGTGGCTTCCCTGGGTCATGGGACAGACTCTGGCCAATGGGATGAGTGGGCATGACATTTGCTACATCAAAGCAAAAGTTTTAAATGCTATTATTTAATCTGGAGGCTTATTCACTTCCGCTCTCAACTGTGAGAACAGCATGTTCCATGCAGTGGCAATTCCTCCTGCTTGGATTCTGAAATGCTAAAACATGTGGATCCCTGCCTGCAAACCCACAGGACCCAGGACAACTGCCCTCATAGAGCAGGAGCAAAAAATAAACATGTGTTAATTGTAAGCCCCTGAGAATTTGAGAATCATTTTCCTCTAGGTAGCCTAACCTAGAGGAAAACGACTACTAACAGAGTTGTCAGGGGAGCATAAGAGTCTCTAGACAGAGGAGCCTCTTGAGGAAATCCTGAGATTTAAGAAGGCATACATTTCTTTGGAATGTTATGTATGAAAGGAATGAAGAAGAGATAGGATTAATAAAAGAAGTAAAGAAATTTAGCATTTAGGTGTGCCTTGATTGTTTTATTTTTGTAACTAAGTTATTCTTTTATTTACGTTGGTGATAGCTCAAATATCAATTAATTTTCTAGAGTTCCCTACAACACTTGAATTACATATTCTCCTGTGGTTGAGATGATAATGCATTTTCACTTCCAAAAAGGTACTTTATCTGTTATATGTTAAACTTACATTCCTTAATTATACAATGTCACTTATTTTGTATTATGGAGAAGCAATGCTTTCAAATTCACACTGCCATGATGTTTTTCTAAACAGGACTTGCTTCTGTTCTGTTGTAATCTTAGATAAACAGATATAACTTAGAATAAGTAGAAAGTATACCTAACTTTGTTGCTTTCTTTTGAACTTTTTTGCTTTACCTATGTTACTGTTAGCTCAGGGGAAGAGGCAAATTCTCCAGTGGGAAAAAAAACTTAAAAAAGTTATTGATTTTTAACAAATAGAAAATATATATATTTGAAAGTTTTTAAAATACAGAATTGAATAGAGTTCAATGTAAGGAAACCTCCTCATATTTCCTTTATCCTTTCCAGTTCCCATTGCCTATGACTAACCATTGTGAATAATATTTGAAACAAGGTCATATTCCATACACTTTATTAAGACTATTTCTGGTTTTTTAACATTATGAATGTTGTTCAATGTTTCTACATACTACCCATTCCATTCTTTTATTCTACAACATGGATGATCAGTATCTTCTTTAAACATTTTCCAAATTTCAACAAGTTGAGCTGGTTCTTACAAATAAAGCTGTAATATGCATCTTGGTACATATTTTCTTGCATATTTATGAGATAGATTACTAAAAGTATACTTGAGTTAAAATGTATATACAGTCCTCCCAAATGGTTTATATAATATATAATTCTGTCATCACTGTTTGAGATTCTTTTACTCTATATCCTCACAAACACAAGCTTTTATAAATCTATAAAAATGTTATGCCAGTAGGTAAGCAATATGTAACATCTTATTTAGTTACTGTTCTTGGACTACTGCTGTGTCGTTCTGTTGATAAGATCTTTGTATTTCTTATTCTGTGTATTCTCTGTTCATATTTCTTGACCTCGCTGCTGAGATTTTGTTTGTTTATTTTTTAGAGACAGAGTCTTGCTATGTTGCCCAGGCTGGTCTTGAACTTCTGGCCTCAAGTGATCCTCCTGCCTCGGCCTTCTAAAGTGCTGGGATTACAGGCATGAGCCACTATGCCCAGCCTTTTGAGATTTTTGAATGTGGATTTTTTAATTTGTAAATCTCATTTTTATATTTGAGACAGCAGCCTTTTGAGTAACCATGACAATAGTCTTTTCCTCTAGTACAATTTTGTTTGAACAAAGTAATTTACAAAGATCATAGACCATATAGTTTACAAATAACATGTATGGTGTGTTTTCCCAATAACATTTGCACCACATTTAGGGGCCAACTTGAAAAGGAGACCATATCGCAGGAATGTTAAGAACCCTATCTTAGGAATCAGGCAAATGTATGACACATTTCAACTTTGACATACATTAGCTGTGTAACTTAAGTAAATTATCTAAACTTTCTGATGTTCAATTTACCAGTTTTTAAAATGGAAAGAATATCTCTTTAATTTAGGTTTTTGTGAAAAATATTTTAAGTAAGAAAATGAGGTGTTCTAATATGCATTCCATGTGGGTACAGATATTTGTTTCATAATACTCAACTTTCTATAATTTCTATCCCACTTAGGTACAATGCATATAGATAGACAGATAGATAGATAGATAGATAGATAGATAGATAGATAGATAGATACACATACACACACATATATATATAAAACTGCCACAAAAATCATTACACGTGTGTCTATGTATGTGTAGGTATATATGTATACACATACATATATACACATATGTATATACATACATAATTATATGTGTATATATACACGCATATATACATACATAATATACATATGCATATACATATACATATATATTTATATATAAATATAAGTTTAAATGTATACATTTCTGTGTAATCAAGTAATCTAGAACAAATTCCTTATCAGAGATCACATTGGAATCTTGATAAAACGGGACGGAATAGCTTGAAATTAACTTTAAGCTACAAATTAAAAAATATTTATATACAGTATAAAATAGTTTTACAAACTAGTTTGATCATGGTGCATAAACTTCCAAATTATTATAGCAAAAATTTAGTACACTTGCTTCAGCAAAATTTTAAAATATATTTTCCAGTGGGGAGATATTAATGTAACTTAGTAGCTTTTATCTAATATGCAAACCCTGTGGCTCTTTGGAATATTGTGTTAAGAATTCTGAAGTCCACAGAAAAGAGAGCAGGGAGTAAGTAATGATGCTGCAGGAAGTGTGGTTTGGCAGTCACTTTTTCACGCATTTGATACTACTGAACACAAAGAAAACAACTGTGAAATTTTATTTCACAGATCATTGTTTTAACTGTATTTTTTTCCCACACAAAATTGTAAGCCTTCCATAATTGCTTAGTTAGATTAGGGGTGGCCTCTGGGGTTGGTTGTTAGCTTTTTCCACTAACTGATACTTAGCTTTGTTTTAACAAAATGTCCTCCTCCTTAACTATGTTTCATTTCAAAAGTCAACCCAGCTTAATTTTATCCTACTAGTGAAATATTGACATAAATAGGGAATACACATAATTTCCAGGGAAAGGAAACTTGTCAAATATGTTAGTATATTATGTCTGCCTCCATGATCCCAGTTCTTTCTACTTAAGATAGTCATATGTGTAAAATGTAATTAAAATTGGAGTTAAGTGAATCAATCTTTTAAAAATGAACAAAAACAATAAAAGGCTAGTTTAAACAAAAAGTCACACCTCTGAAAATAGGGGCATCAAAAAATCTATATTCCTGGTGTTCTCTATATAATACTGAATTATTTAAGCTCTTTTCTAAGAGTGTATTCCAGAGGATGAAAAAGAAGTATCTGTGTTGTGGAACATA
Source organism: Homo sapiens (assembly GCF_000001405.40). Taxonomy (NCBI): domain Eukaryota; kingdom Metazoa; phylum Chordata; class Mammalia; order Primates; family Hominidae; genus Homo; species Homo sapiens. The sequence continues at coordinate 9,608,790 of NC_000010.11, forward strand.
GAGGGAGCTGTTGGCAAAGGGATAGTAAAACAATCATAAAATATACAGTGAATTTTTTTATTAAAATAGATTTTTTTAAAACCTTACTTTCAAGGCATCAATTGATAGTTAAAATGTATAATAGAATTTGATTGAAGTTAATATTTTTGGAAGAAGATTGTGGTAGAAATTATCTTTAAAAAAAAAAAAAAGATTTTCATGAAAAACAGGCCTGTTACTATTCAGAACAAGAGTACCTTGGAGAGGATGGAGGCTAATGCATTACATTTTGTTATTTTCACTTTATATTGTGTCCACTAACATGACACTGGGATTTATTTAGAGTAGTATAACTTTGCTCTATTCCTTAGATTTAAGTTATTTGCCCACTGAGAAAAATGTAAGTTGTTCTAAGGCATTTAATGTTATAATATTTGAAAGTTACAAATTAATGGGTTAAGTGATATAATACAGGGACAACGTTTGGGAAGGCTGATATCATGGTGATTCATAGCAACATAATTGCCACAAAAATTATTGCACATATAAAACAAAAAAACATTTGGTTGATGACAAGTACTGAAGGCAAACAATATACTAAAGTAATTGAACATATAATCTGAATTTGCACCACTTGGTTACTGTGAATTAACCAACATCAACAGCAACATTTCCTAAGAATATACACCATCAATTAGCATTTGAATGTGAATGGAAAAACAGATTCACACGGTAGTAGAAATACAAAAGGAATACATTTTAAAATAGTTTTTAAACCACTGTTTACTAAAAGACCTATCCAAGGCACTCTGATAAATGTTTATTCAGTGCTTGTGACCAATGCAGCAAACTCATGTTAGGAGTATTGGTTTATCATGGCAGGTTGTCAACAGCTAGGATATCATTATAAATGATCTTGTCTTTTCTGTTATAATTCAACAGAACAACTAAGAAGTATAAATGAAACTGCTCGAGGAGATGGAATTCAAAAGCGGGTTTAGCCCTGGTTTTGAGACAGTACGAAAGTTTGAAGGCGCTATTATTTAATGCGTGTTTAGTTTACTTTGGCATTTAGTCCTCAGCATAACATACTCTGTTAGCTTCTCAACTGGAACAGCCCCTTGATGTGGGCCTTACCCCTTCACTCATTAATAGAAAGTGAGTCTCTTAAGCAGCAGCATTTTGTGACCTGTGTCCCCTCGGTCACCTCTAACAAAATGGTAGGAGGGTGGTTGTGCGTTCCTGGGAGATTTCTTGTCCTCATTTCCCAGTTTATTTTCAAATCCTGGTTCTAGAATTAACACATGATTATTACCATATTCTTACATGTATGATCAAAGGTGCAGGGATTTACATACCACAATACTAAGATTTTTATTGAATTCCTATGTGGTTGGAGAAAAAACTCATTGGCAGGTAATTTTTAAAATATTGCCTGATATTTGAAAGAATGCTATCAAATATGTTTCCAAGTTCATTTATTCTCTCTCTAATATGGCTCTACAAAACTTAAAAAAAAATTATATACAATTTTCTTCTCATCCTGTTGGAAAGCACTTAGATGCAAATGGTGAAGGTATCTAGAATGAAAACCATGTTTTTAATTGCCACTAAATTGCAGACACTCTGCTTGCTGTCATAGGAAATGGTTAAAACAATGAGAAATACATTTGTCAATAAAAGATCACTCTCATTTATTTTTGATGGAATGCAAAATGTTCTAACATTAAGGAGGGGGGCTTGGCACTATGTAACACAATTACATCTACATTTACCCTTTGAGTCAGCAATACAATTTACTTTGAAAATACACATTCACTAATACAAAACTATAGATGCACAAGGTTATTTATTGCAGCAGTTTTTTGAATAGCAGTATATAAAAAATTACCTCAGTGCTCAACCGTAAAAGATGGATTGAATAAATATTATAAATATATAGAGTAATAAGCAGCTTAAAGATTGAAGAATATCCTATGAACTGAACTGATAAGAATATAGTTTTAAAAAGCAAAGCAGCCTGAAAAACGTAGGTTTAAAAAAGAGAGAAAATAAGAACTTGACTTTTTTCTCAAAAAGAAACTTATGATATAAGCCAGTAACAATTGAAAATGGGTACGTGGGGAGTGGGGAAGCTGGCAATGGTGGAGATGAATGGATAGGAGAAAGTCTTCTCTAAGTAAACCAGTAAACCTGACTATGTTATATAATGTTGGCTTGTGAACTAGGTTGTAATTGTATACATTAAAAATAAAAGCAAAAGCAAAATAAACATGAAAATCCTAAATATGGATATAAACAAAAATGAAGGAAACTTGCTTTATATGAAATTGATAATATAATCCTTGGAAAACATATGTGATTTCTGAATATAGTGCTCCAATTGTACAAATTTAGAATTAGACATAGTCTAAAGAAAAACAAAACTGAATGAAATTTTGAATGTTACTTAATAGGTTTATTATGAATGGTAGTATTAACTTGCTGTAGTATTTATGTATGCTTTTGTATAAATTTTAGAATTGAGCACCTGTATAACTATATTTACTGTTTGGAGCCAGGATTTTTGCTGTGATTAAATTAGGAGTATGGAAATAATTGGGGAGAGGGGGAGAAAACTCTTTAGTACTAGATTGGATTTGGAGGTATCAGTTTAATCTTGTGATCTTATACAGTATTTCTTAGCTCTACTAAGTTAAGTTGTCTAGAAGCATAAGACTTCAATAACAGGCCGGGTGCGGTGGCTCACGCCTGTAATCCCAGCACTTTGGGAGGCCAAGGCAGGTGGATCATGGGGTCAGGAGATCGAGACCATCCTGGCTAACATGGTGAAACCCCATCTCTATTAAAAATACAAAAAATTAGCTGGGTGTGGTGGCGGGTGCCTGTAGTCCCAGATACTTGGGAGGCTGAGGCAGGAGAATGGCCAGAACCCGGGAGGCAGAGCTTGCAGTGAGCCGAGGTCGTGCCACTGCACTCCAGCCTGGGTGACAGAGTGAGACTCCGTCTCAAAAAAAAAAAAAGAAAAAAAAAGAAAAAAGAAAAAAAAAAAGACTTCAGTAACAATAGACACAATAATCATTGAGATCTTGATTTCTAAATAAATACAATTCTCTAGAAACTAGAGTGCCATGGACAAATGCCTAATACTAGGACTAGGTTAGAGAAAGTACAAGTTGAGCTTGAAACATCTTGTTGTACTATTAGGGAAAAGGAGGAGGAGGAGGAGGAAGAAGAAGAAGAAGAGGAGGAGGAAGAAGCAGAAGAGGAGGAGGAGGAAGAAGAAGAAGAGGAGGAGGAAGAAGCAGAAGAGGAGGAGGAAGAGGAGGAGGAAGAGGAGGAAGAAGAAGAGGAAGAGGAAGGAGAAGAAAGGGGAGAAAAAGAAAGTAAGTTAATTGGACATGTCAAAAGGAGATTTTCACTGGCCAAATGTAGACAATGAAAGCACTGAAAAAAAAATAACAGATTACAATAAACAAAATACAAAAGACTCCATGAGTCCCCAGAAATGCTCGAAACCATAAAGAAAAGGAAAAGAGCAAGGAAAAGGTAAAAAGAGAAAGCAAAATGGAGAGAGAGAGCAAAAAAACTACTAGCTAAAACATACAGAGTTAAATAAACCACCTTTTGCAACCACAAATATAGTAACTGATTATAGCAAGGTCTGTCAAAGATGTTGAACATTTTGAGTGAATGTTTCTTGGGGAACAGAATATTCACACCATCTCAAAGTATCACTCCATCAATGTCTTATAACGACAATGACAAAAGAGAACTCTTCATGTGAGAGTTCTGGCCATCACCATCTTAATAATTATCAGGACAAACTGATATGTCTTCTGATGTGAAACAATGGAAAATACACACAGTATCACCAATGTTGTAGTCGCCCCTAAAATGTTTAACCTAACCAATCATAAAGCAATCTACCAACCTGGATTATGAAATAGTGGAATAATGACTTCACAGATTCACAAATGCATTCATTTTACAGTTATGTGTTAAGTTTTCCCTATATACCCTGGTCTAGGTGTAGAGGTTTCAGAAATAGCACATGTCTTCTTAGAACTTATCACTTTACTTAAAATATTACTCAGGGTTACAGGTTGGTAGAAATATACTTTTTAAAATCATATAGTCAGAGAAGACTTTGCTGGTGAAATGATATTTGAGTAGAATTCAAAACGAAGTGTATGGAGCCATAGGCTCCAAGTTTGGCTTATTTGAGGAGCAGCAAATCAGTTAGCAGAAGACTTAAAAAGGAGAAAAGTCATAGAGAATAAATTGCCAGGAACCATTTCATGTAAAATAATCCATTTAAGTCATGGTAAGAAATTTAGATTTTATTCCAAAATTTGGATTTTATTCTAAGTATAAAAGAACATTATGGAAAGAAATGTGCCTCCCCACAAGAAATTCATATCATAGAAATAAAAATGATTTCTTGCTGTTTTTCAAATCGTATTTACTGAGAAGAGAATATAAGATGACGTTTATATATCTTAAAATATTTGTTTCATTATATTTATTCTAACTAGCTCAGGAATCAACTATTCAGCTCTCATGCAATTGGAGATTATTAGAGAACAATAAAAGGGTCTGGGAGACTTTTTACATGGGACCATTGTCTTGAAATACAACTAGATGGAAGGTAGGGTACATGAATATGTGAGTGCTTAATATAATATATTGTTTGTTACCGATCTCAAACTTCTGAGAGTTCCTCGTTGACTCATCTTGTCACTTACACTCATTGTTTCTGAAACTGTTAGAAATTTCAGCTGAGTCATTGTTTTCACTATCAGTCCAATTTTAAGAATTTTTTTTTAAATACAAATTATATCACAGTGGAGGAAGTGTATATGACAGCTTTGAATGAAATGTAATAAATAGCCACTCCACTTGCAGGAAGGAGGGTGGCAGGTCTTTCAAGGCCATATTTTACCAAGCATCTCATTTGCTAGTGCAGGCGATTTGGGAGATGCTGGCAGGGGAGGAATAGAAAAATCTCTGAAAATGCTTAATTTCATTTTCAATTTAAGTAGCCGGAGCCTACTCAAAGAAATAGTCCCTGGAGTGAAATTTTGCAGCTGAGAAATTCTTTCAAGTCTTTCCCATTCTGCTGCTAACGTTCCTTAAAGCAAGAAATAGGCCGTTTGGCTCCGTTCTTGTTTTAGTCGCATCTGAGAGAAGAAAATCCCTCTGATGCTCTGTCCTGTCTTTCCTAATATCTCTATCACAGTTTCTAAAGGTGCTTTCAAGACCAGATGGGCATGCTGGTCCATTTATGAGTTTTTCTCAGGGCTAATACTGCCCTCAGTCCTCCCGTGGCCTTTCCACTGAAGTCAGTGGGAACTACATGACTGGATCAAGGTGGGATATATGGCTCCATGCAAACACTGAAAATTTAAACTCTTTGAAAGAAAACAAGAAAAAGCCAGAGGGATGTGAAAAAAAAATGTGATGAAATGGCCTCAGACAAAAACTGGAAGCAAATCAGCAATACCACATACATTTGTTGGGATATCAGATTCTATTTTTGAAGAGATATTAAGAGCTAAGGTAATAAATGTAGTCACATTTGGAAATAAGAGTGTTATAAAGTCACAAATACCATTATGGACAAAATCAGAAGGTCCTTCAGGACATAAAACTTGAACGGATCTAACATTTAGATAAATGGTGATTTAGAGTGGTCAACATTGGACTTGTAGGATAGCGAGATATTATATTTTTAAAGCTCTCACCATTGCCTTCTCTTAGAGAATATAGTACATTTATACATATAGAGAGAACACAGTACAGAGAATATAGTACATTTGGAATTTTTTTCTGATCAGTTTGATAAATCAAATTCACAGTCCTGTGTCTTCCTTTTACCTTGTACAAGTGAATAAACTTTTTGAGCTAGTGAGTTACCTTCCTGAAAAGAGGGATAAGCATTTGCTGACTGGAAGGTATAATGTGAGTTTATCTTGATTGTTGTGATTGCTTTGGTAGCTTTCTGCAATTCTGGGGTGGAAGATATGTGTAAAGTACTCTTAATTATCTGGCTTGTATCTTTTCTAAATTAAGGTTGTTTCCACATTTATAAAGTATGAGTTCCACACAGAGTCTTAGAAGAGTAAAACCGCAATCATTTCAACAGTGCAAAGTTGTCAGGAAGAAAAATATGCTATAGAGTATGTCAACCATTATTGAATTTAGATTGTAGATGTACAATACTCTTAATTTTACTCTTCAGGACAAAGAGTTGATTACTAAGAAGGTAATAAACCAACAGGCAAACAAACATACTTAAAGATATCAAAAACCCAAACTTGCTGCTTTCAGCTCATTCTGTCATATAATTGAAGGGAAGTAGACAACATTTTCATGTAAGACTAGATAATAGGATGTTGGATTTTTTTCCCCATCACTGCTCCATCCAGTATAGAATTGTGTAGTTCATGCTCTCAGATTTTGTTCCCCTAACTAATTAATTCTTCATCAGATTCTCCTCGACTGAGAATACTACAGTCTCCAGTATCCCTGAGCCCTAGGGGGCATTAAAGTGACTCACAGACATAACCTCACCACCTGATCCACCCTTAACATTGCCCAAGGTAGTGTGGTTTTATAGCAATAAACAGGATTCCTCATCAAAAGCAGTTTCCCCACCACTGCATATTATGCCAGAAAATCGACATTATAATTCATTCCTTGCAGGCTGAGTTATTTCCTCTCTCCAAAGAATTCTCTAACAAAACGCAGACATGGCTGGGAGATTTATGCCTAAGGTTAATTTCTGAAAATCCACCAATAGTTTGGGAGATTGAGAGCAAGATCTGATAAGGATGGAACAAATAATAGGACTTGAGCCCATAAATGGGTTGCTAAGACTTAGGACAAAAGAGAGGGAAGTTGAAGGGAGAATGAGAAGATACCAGAGACATATTTAATCTACCTTATAAGACAAGACACTGTAGTGGAAAGAGGATGTAAACTAAAGAAGAAAACCCACATTTTGTTTCAAATAACTATATTAAAGCAGTATTTGTGAAAAGGCCTTCTTTCTCAGAAATCTCGTTCATGAGATTCTTGAAGAATCAGCTGGCACGCTGGCCTTTGATTTTAAGTTTTCATAATTGTGTGAAATAGATTTCTGTTATTTAAGCCACCATGTGAATATTTTTTTTTTCTGAGTAGTAAGTCTCAACTGTGGGCTTTAAATATTCAGTAACCCTTGCTATAAAAAAGATATGCCGTAATGCAGGCTTTGTTGTTCCATTTACAGAGCACAGGCAGCGTGGATTTGGCAAAATTCTTATGAGCTCTAGGAGTTTCAGAATGGTAAATAAGCATGGGCTTCAATTGAAAGTCACCAGCTGCAGGGGTTCCTAACAGGGGAGTCAGCCTGTCCCTTGTAGCTTTGAAGTCAGACATTGACTTCTTTCTAGCTATAAAAGTCCCAAGTGGCATCTTCTTCCAATACAAGGCCCTTTCACCTACATTGAAAATCTGTTGTTTAGAGTAGCCACCTTCATCAAAGATCTTAGCTTGATCTTCTGGATAGCTTGCTGCAGCGTCTCCATCAGCACTTGCTGCTTCATCTTGCCCTTTTATGTTACAGAGACAGCTTCTTTCCTTAAACCCCATGAACCAGCATCTGCTAGCTTCAAACTTTTCTCCTGCAGCTTTCTCACCTCTCTCACCCTTCACAGAATTAAAGAGAGTTAGAGTCTTGCTCTGGGTTAGGTTTTGGCTTAAAGGAAGGTTGAGGCTGGTTTGATCTTCTATCCAAAACTGTCTCTTTGCATTCACAACATGGCATAAAAGGCTTAGCTTTCTGCCTATCTCAGCTTTTGACATGACTTTCTCAAGAAAGTCATTTCTAGTTTTTGATTTGTAATGAGAGATATGCCACTCTTCCTTTCACTGAAATACTTAGGGGTCATTATAGGGTGATTAAATGGCCTAATTTCAAAACTGTCTCAGGTAATATGGAGGCCTGAGGGGACAGACAGAGTGGGAGAATGGCTGGCCGGTAGAGCAGTCAGAGCACAAACATTTAGTACATTCGCAGTCTTACATGGATATGGTTCATGACACTCCAAAACAACTACAATAGTAATATCAAAGGTCCTTGATCACAGAAATAATAATATAAAAATTATCATATAATAATATAACAATAATAATTTTGAAATATTGTGATACTTACCAAAATGTGACACAGAGACATGAAGTGAGTACCTGCTGTTGGAAAAATAACACCAACAGACTTCCTTGAGGGAGTTGTCACAAACCTTCAATTTGTAAAATCTGCAATATCTGCAAAGTAAAATAAAGCAAAGTGCTATAAAACGAGGTATGTGGGTATTGAAATTAAGCATAAGATTTTGTTAGGTAGAAACAATGTTGCGCCCTAATGAAAATAAAATGTTTTTGATTCCTCAGTGATCAGAGGGAAATATAGATCTACATAAAATTTGAACTCTTTCTATTAAGAGAAACTATAATCCAATATCCCTTATGAATATAGATGCAGAATACTCAACAAAATAATAGAACAACAATTCCAGCAATATATACAAAGGTCAATACACCATTATCAAATAGAATTTGTCCCTGGAATGTGAAGTTAGTTTAACATCTAAAAAGCAATCCATGTAATACGTCAATGTTAAATGGACTAAAGAACAAAAACCACATAATTATGTCAACATATGCATAAAACACATTTGAAAAAATCCAACACCCTTTCATGATAAAACTATGAACAAACAGGCAATAGAAGGAAACTTCTTGAGCCTGATATATGGCATGTAGGAAAAATTCACATGTAACACCATACTAAATGGGGTAACTGAGTTTCTCTTCCTCCAAGATAATAAACAAAAGCAGGATGTCTGTTTCACTTCTATTCAACATTTTTCTGGAGTCTATCCAGGGCATCATACAAGTTTTAAAAAAGAAAAATGTCCAGATTGAAAAGAAAGAAATAAAACTACCTCTACTTTCAGATGACATGATCTTGTACATAATAAAATGTAAGAAACCCTGTGGAAAACTATCAGAGTTATTAAGCAAGTTCAATAAGGTAGCTAGGCACATGTTCAATATTTTAAAAAAATAGACATATTTCTACATACTAGAAATGGACAATCCAAAAATGAACTTAAAAAATTTTAATTGTCAATATTATAAACACAAAATATTTATGAAGAAATTTAACAAACACGTGTAAGAGTTTTATAACAAAACTTACAATACATTATGGAAAGAAATTGAAGAAAACTTAAAAATGGACTGACATCTCATATTTATGGATCAGAAGATTTAATATTTCTAAAAAAGGGTGTACTCCACAAGTTGATCTATAGATCCAATATAATTATCAAAACCCAAGCTGCTTTTAAAAAATAGAATTTGGCAAGCAAATTCTAAAATGAATATGAAAATGCAAGGGAACAAGACTAACTGAGACAATCTTGGAAATCAGCAAAGCTAGATGATTTATACTTCCCAAGTTTAAAACTTCATACATATCCACAGTAATAAAAAAGGTGTGGTACTTACAAAAAGATAGACTTCTAATATAAATCAATGGAATAGAAATAAGATTCTAGAAATAAACTTTTAATTTATCATCAAATGACTTTTGGTAAGAATGCCAAGACAACTCCATTGGGAAAGTACTATCTATCAAACACATGGTGCTGTGACAAATGAATATCAAATGCAAAATAATGAAATTGGACCCTCCTGCATACCATATATAAAAATTAACTCAAAATAGATCATAGATCTACACATAAGAAGTAAAACTATAAAAATCTGATAAGAAAATGTGAAAGTAAATATTTTTGTCCTTGGAATAAGGAATATTTTCTTAGATATGATGCCAAAAGCACAAACAACAACAACAAATGAATACATTAGTATCCACTACATTGATGATCTACAATAATCAAAATTAGATGATCTACAATCATCAAAATTAGAAAACTTTGTACCCAAAGAATGTCATTAAGGGCCGGGCGCGGTGGCTCACGCCTGTAATCCCAGCACTTTGGGAGGCCGAGGCGGGTGGATCATGAGGTCAGGAGATCGAGACCATCCTGGCTAACAAGGTGAAACCCCGTCTCTACTAAAAATACAAAAAAAAATTAGCCGGGCGCGGTGGCGGGTGCCTGTAGTCCCAGCTACTCGGGAGGCTGAGGCAGGAGAATGGCGTGAACCCGGGAAGCGGAGCTTGCAGTGAGCCGAGATTGCGCCACTGCAGTCCGCAGTCCGGCCTGGGCGACAGAGTGAGACTCTGTCTCAAAAAAAAAAAAAAAAAAGAATGTCATTAAGAAAGCGAAAAGTTAACTCACCAAATAGGTAAAAATATTTGCAAATCATAGGTCTCATAAGAGATTCATACAGATTATGTAAAGATGTCTTAAATTCAATAGCAAAAGGTCACTCTGTTATACAATGACTAATTGATCTAAATAGATCTTCTTCCAAATAAGATATAAAAATTGTCAATAAACACATAGAAAGGTGCTCAGCCTCATTGGTCATTAGGAAAATGTATGCCAAAATCACAATAAGCTACTGCTTCATGCCTATTTTATTTTAAGATGGCTAAAATAAAAAAGATAGACAATAACAAATGTTGGCAAGGTTGTAAAGAAACTGGAACCCTGATATATTGTTAATGGGATTGTAAAATGGTACAACAGTTTTGGAAAACACAGTGGCAGTTCCTTCAAACGTTAAGCATAGAGTTACCTTATGAACCAGTTATTCCCTTCCTAGGTATATGTCCAAGAGAAGGAAATAAATACATATGTCTATATAACAATTTTAGGAATGTTCACAGCAGTGTCATTCACAAAAGTGAAAATATGGAAACAATTCAAATGCTTATCAACTGATAAACGATAAACAAAATGTGGTATATCCATACAATGGCATATTATTTGGCAATAAAAATCAGTGAAGTACTGATACAGTTTGGCTGTGTCCCCACCCAAATCTCACCTTGAATTGTAACAATTCCCATGTGTCAGGGGTTGGGCCAGGTAGAGATAATGGAATCATGATGGCAGTTTCCTCCATAGTGTTCTCATGGTAGTAAATAAGTCTCATGAGATCTGATGATTTTACAAAGTGAAGTTCCGCTGCACAAACTCTCTTGCCTGCCACCATGTAAGATGTGACTTTGCTCCTCTTTTGCCTTCTGCCATGATTGTGAGGCCTCCCCAGCCACGTGGGACTGTGAGTCAATTAAACCTCTTCCCTTTACAAATTACCCAGTCTTGGGTATGTCTATTAGCAGCCTGAGAACAGACTAATATACGTACTTATACATCAACATAAACAAACCTGAAGATATGCCAAGTGAAAGAAGACCACAGATTGTAAGATTCTATTTAGAGGAAATGTCTAGAATGGACAAATTCATGGAGATAGAAAACTAGATCAATGGTTTTTAGTACCTAAGGGGAGAAGGGAATGAACAGTGATTTTTAATGGGTATGAGGTTTCTTTAGGAAGAGATGAAAATATATTAAAATTAGATTGTGGAGATGATTGAACAACTCTGAATATACTAACAAAATGTTGAACTGTACACTTTGAAAGAGTGAATTTTATGGTATGAAAATTATACGTCAATACAGCTGTAATAAAAATTACCAAGAGACATTACTCCTGAAATAAAATGTCAGAAGTAGCAATTATTGCTAATGATTTTAGTCCTTATTTGGTGGTTTTGCAGCAAGCTCCTTCTTAAATAGCATTTCATTTAATCACAGCAACACCTTACAGACATGGGAACCCTTACAGGCTGAATTTCATCCACACCCTTCAAATTCATATGTTAAAGTCCTAATACCTAGTACCTCTGAATGTGACCAGATTTAGAGATAGGGTCATTAAAATGACAAAAACCACAATTACTTTTACACCAACCTAATGATGTAGGAGTTAAGAAGAATTTATTTAGGCAGATAGCAAGGGCATAGGAGTCCTCAGTAAGGTCTGCCGTTTAATGAAAAGCAGCCACCAAATCATTTTCTTTCCTAACGAAGAGCAGTCTGTAAAAGTGAGCTGCAGACACAGACAAGCAAGCTGGGAGCTTGCAGGGGTGAATGACAGCAGTTGTACCCACAGGAATATACTACATGGGACTAGGCATGTTCAAAATAGCTGCTCCATCTTCCCTTCTCTTTGCCAAATTGCGTGTAGAGTAAGGAGAAGAAAATATGGCGCTAGGCAGGCAAATACCCTATTTGCATAATAAGATTAGGGTGGGGTGACCAGCCTTCCCTGGTGGTATGTAAAAGTTACATCTGCTTGAACCAATCTGTGGACCCTATGTAAATCTGACACAGCCCCTTCAAGCCTGCCTATAAAGTCTAGCACGATCCACAAGAGGCCAGATTTTCCTTTTGGAAGCCTCTCTCTCTCTCTCTCTCTCTCTCTCTCTCTCTGTCTCTCTCTCTCTCTCTCGCAAGGGAGAGAGCTGTTCTCCTTTCTCTTTCTTTTGCCTATTAAACCTCCACTCCTAAACTCAGTCCTCCTCTTTGTCTGTCTCCTTAATCTTCTTGGCAAGAGACGACAGACCTTGGGTATTTACCCCAGACAACGAACGACACCGCTTCACTAACAGCATTATGATTCATAGCAGGATAAGAGAAAGAGCAAATACCAGTTTACGAGAAAAGAAGCTCAGATTTAAAGACTGCCTATGACAATAAACAACTTCCATGGCTATAAATGATGGGGAGAAAGATGACTAATTTTATATATTTCTTTTTAATCCTCCAACTTACTCTACCATAGACTGAGAATCTATGTCAAGACAGAGTCTGAGAGTTTAAGTCAAGTTACAAGACATTGAGCTTCTTACGATTGAGAGACTAAGTGTATTATTTGTCAGCAAAGACAAAGTGTGCAAGCAAATGCCAGATTTAGTTATATAGTCTGGAAAAGAATTTTGTTTTTTTTTTATGATTTGTGGGTGATCTTTGTGACCTGTGTGTATAGAAATTTTATAGTAGGTAATTCTCAAGTGTGATCCTGCAAAAGCTAACTTTATAAAGTCCTCAAAATATTCGTTCTGATTCTCTGCAGGAGAAAACATGGATCTTGAAGTTATCAAGGAGAATAAAACTTTGTCTTTTATATCTGCAAATTATTTGACTTTGAAACTCAGAATATACTGAAAATATATAAGAAAATGTTTATACTAAAAAGATAAATAGATGATAAATATCACTGATATATTATCATATAACCTATGTAATAAACTATATATTCTATATAATAAGGTATATTATACAGAATTTATAATTATGTAAGTAAATTATATGTAATATATAATTATAAGTAAGTTATACATAATTTATGTATATGTATAAAATTTGCTGATTGGAAAACCCTGTTGTGGGGGAAATTACTTGTTCCATTCCTGTCATTTATATATTTATATATTAGTTAAAGAGACAAGGAGGTTAGTATATATTTATTACGTTTTTAATAATTCCAATGCCTAATATGACATTTAATTCTAATAATAATACATATGTTACAATTAACCCCGTTTATAAATGGAGAAAATTGAGACTCATGAATATTAAGTGAATTGTCACATGGTACAGACATCAAGAGGTATGGGCTAAATTAAAACTCAGTCTTCTAATTCTTATGTCTATGTGTTTTTAAATATCTACTATATCACTTTCCAATTAAATATGCATAGCCTTGGAATATTCTAATAATAAATTTTAGGTGTGTCTACAATTGTCATGGTGACACAACTTTGTCAAGAGGACAGGGTGGCTCGAATTTCATCTCAGACTTTTCTCTGTTTGAAAGGAATGTTAGCACACAGCTCACAGGGTTTTTGAAGGCAAATATGGTGACACAGTGTGTGCCATCTGCTATGAACTCATCACAATTGAGTTTCTCTCTTCCCTTCCCCATAAGCTTTATATTCATCAACAGGAGTTGGTAGGTAGGAGGACTTTCTTCAGGATAAATTTAGGAATAAAAAATATCCAGTTAATTAGTGGGGTTTTGTTGTTTTTGTTTTTGTTGTTTCTTTTAAGACAGGGTCTCACTCTGTCACCCAGACTGGAGTACAGGGGCGCAATCATAGCTCACTGCAGCCTCAATCTTCTGGGCTCAATTCATCCTCCTGCCTCAGCCTCCCGAGTAGCTGGGACTACAGTCATGTACCACCACGCCTGGCTGATTTATTCATTTTGTGTAGAGATGAGGTCTTTCAATGTCATCCAGGCTGTTCTCTAACTCCTGGCCTGAAGCGATCCTCCCACCTGGGCCTCCCAAAGAGTTGCGATTACAGGTGTGCACCACCATGCCTGGCCCCAGTACATAGTTTCTAAAGAGAAAGATTTGGTTAGGTGGTCGGTAAGATCCTTTATGGATTAAATAACTATTCATTGTAAATGGTGGACTGTATTAGTCAGGGTTCTCCAGAGGGACAGAAATAATAGGATACATGTATATATGAAAGGGAGTTTATTAAGGAGAATTTATTACATAATCAATAGTGAAGTCCCATGATAGGCCGTCTGCAAGCTGAGAAAAACCGAAGCCAGTAGTGGCTTAGTCCACGTCCAGAAGCCTCAAAAGTAGGGAAGCCGACAGTGCAGCCTTCAGTCTGTGGCCAAAGGCCTGAGGGACCCTGGCACACCACTAGAGTAAGTCCTAGAGTTTAAAGGCCAAAGAATCTGGAGTCTGATGTTCAAGAGCAGGAAGCATCCAGTATAGGAGAAGATGAAAACTGGAAAACTCAGCAAGCCAGCTTCTTCTACCTTCTTCCACCCGCTTTTTCTAGTGGCGCTGGCAGCCCATTTGATGGTACCACCTACATTGAGGATGGGTCTTCCTCTTCCTGTCCACTGACTCAGATGTTAATTTCCTCTGACAATACCCTCACAAACACACCCAAAAACAATACTTTACATCCTTCAATCTAATCAAGTTGACACTCAATATTAACCATCTCATAGACATTCAATAAATATAAACTAATTTCATTGTGAAATTTGTGACTAATATCATAAACAGAGGCTAATCATTGAACGTTGTCCTCTGAGGGCAGTAAGTAAACCTATTATCCCCTTAGGGTCTAGCCAGAAAAACTAGAAACTTTCTTCCCCAAGGCAAGTCAAAGAAACCAGAACCCCTTTTCCCCAAAGCCAGCCATAAAACCTAAAAATATTACTCTTTCCCCACACCTTTCTGTATAAAAACTGGCCATAAAAACATTAGCTGATCAACCCTGTTTGACTATTGGTCATAAGATCCCCATTCCAAAGAGTGTCCTACTCCTACAAAATGAAAACAAATTCATACTCAAAGAGGCCCCCCAGAATACAGACAGACTAAAGTTGCTGGGTTTCCCTACTAAGTCTATCAACATTAGATTATACCCTCTTTATCCAATCATATCTCTACACAGCTACCCATATTTTCTTAAATCTAAGCATAGAAATAGACAATTTCCTCTGTATCTTTTGTCTTCATTTTGAAGGCTCCTGTGTCAAGTAAAACCATAATCAAATAAATGTATGTGCCTTTCTCCTATTCATCTGCCTCTCATGAGTGATTTTCAGGAAACCTTCAGAGAGTAAAGGGTAAGTTTTCCTTGGCCCCAACACAAGAAACGGTGGTGGAATATATCAATATCTATATGGAAAAACAAACAAATAGCTCAATCTTTATCTCATATCAGAAATTATTTTTAACTGGCTTAGAGCTCTAAACACAAGAGCCAAACCTATAAAACTTCTAGTTTAAAAACTAAAATAAAAAGTATAAACCATAAAAGAAAAATGAGTCATGTATCAGTAAAGAAAATCTGCTCTACAGAAAATGAAAATGCAGACTACAGAATGGAAGAACTTATCTGCAGAACATATTTATGATAAAAGACTATTTCCAAAATACTGGATATAAAGAATTTTTCACTCATGATAATTTGATTTAAAAAGCATAACATAAGATTTAAACTCTGACTTTACCACTTAGTAGGCATATAACCCGGAGGAACCTCCTGGACCCCTCAGTAAACTCTGAAAGATGTAAATAATAATAATAGAATCTAGTCATTGGATTGCTGTAGGTTAACACATACAAAGCATATATGCTGGGCATGTGTTAAGAAAATAAACACTATCTTTACATAAGAGGGGCTTCAGTATTTTCTGAAAGTTGTTGAGAAGAAAAAGTTTACATTGGCTTTAATACCAGGCATTAAATGTTTGAAGAGTTCTTGTGGGGAAGAGTCAATAGAATTGATATAAGTAGCATTGGTGGGCAAAACTAGTGGGAAATTAATGTGAAACATATTTTTGACTCAAGGTAAGTAGCACAATTTAGGACTAAGAGTTGCCCCTAATCAGAGTGGGTGGGCTTGTTAAGTGGTGAGCCACCTCTCCAGGAAGTTAGAGAATGGGGACATTCACACTGTGTTTAGCAGAGACCTGAGGACCCTGCACCTCTATGGAAGAGGTTGTGGGAAAGAGGAATTTTATGGTTGCTTTTCCCAGCCAGAGTAACTCAACTTTTTTTTCTATTTAGCATACTGTTTATAAGTAGAATTCTTTTTAAAGGAAGTGTCTGCTATTAAAATAAACATTTAAGCATCACTGCTACAGATGATATTACTGCACTCCAAGGAAGGTTAAACTAAATAACCTCTTAGATTACCTCCTAGTCTAAATTGCTGCATAGCTTGCCCCAGTTTTTCCCATAGGCAAGCATGCAACACAGTCAGCATAGAGTAAAAATATAGAGCTGAGAGAATGCACTTATTATGCAATATCTCTAAATGTGCCTTTCTTTAAGCTCACCTAGCACTTGTCAAGGAGAGGCAGTTTCTACCTTTTGCAGCTTTGAATTTCACCCTTACAGGAGATCCATATTGCTACATTTAGTCTTCCATTTTAGCTTTTGGAGACTTTATTCAATAACTCAACAGCTTATTGATGCACAGTTCTGTCATCTAAAAGCAAAAGTGAAAAACTCCAGGCAATTTTTCAAAGTGCTGCTCCATGTTAATGGGAGGATTTTGAAATGCCACAAGGGAAATCATTAGAAAGAAAAAGAAGGAACCAGATTAAGCCACCCTGGACACTTTTTACATTTTTAACAGAACCCTTTTAAAGTCTTTCCAAATTCTTAGAAAACAAGCACAATTATTTACAGACTCATTATCTTTAGTGCATTCATTTTTTCATGACTAAAGTACAATACGACTGCAGGGGTTTATGCACACACACTTTTACGGATTTGGAAAATGATATTGCAATCATGGATAATATAAAGTTTATAGTTGTATTTTTTTCTTTGATGACTCAATGGTTTATAAATGTGGATATTTAAGAAAAAAAAACACCACACCCCTCTAACCCATGATAAATGTGTTCCTATGTAAAAATAATACCTGCTTTGTGTTAATGTATATTATGGTAGAGTTTCTGAGACTACATAGTATTACAATAAGCTAAAAGTTTTTCCTCTGAACCACCCGACAATATGATTTTTGGATTTTAAGGATTGTATATACAAAGATTGCAGTTATCCAACCTTAGAGTATTTTAATAGCTTTGGAATAATTTTTCAAGCAGGTAACACTTTGTAACTCTAAATTTAGATTAAAATTATTTGTATGACAGGTTCATCATATTAAGCAACAATTCTCCAGATATTACAGGGCATTAAGAACTGATCAAAGCAGATAATTTGGCATAGTAAATCTTACTATTCCTTAACTTCAACCCATTTTATGGCAATCTGGTCCCAATATGAGCATGTCGAATAACCACAAATGAAGGCAAATATCACCTAACTTAGGAAAACATTTTTCCTCATTCTACTGCCTCCTGGTCAAGTTCCCTTATGTGGCTGACAATATTGGGTTAGTTTAAATTTCTTTCTAGTCAATGGCAGCTGCTAAAAATACAATCAATGACATATTTAATATCAAATCTTTAGCAAAGAGAATAACTACTTTTCCGCCATTAAGATTCTTCCTTACTGGTGATTCAATACAATTACAAATGGTGTGAAAAAGTACTAAAATTCCTAAGCCTTTAGCAGTCTCAGAGTAAATTTTTTTTTAAATTCACCATTCTGTGGATTATACATAGGTATATTCGAAATAGAGAATACTGTAGAACCATATCTCAGGTAATTGAGTGCTTAGACTTCATGAATTCCTTCAGTAGAATGCATCATTACTGTTTTTGAATACTGTATGTGTTATGCTAAAGCAATTCTTTCCACCTGGTTTGGTTTTAACTCCTTTGGATTTGAAATAATGAACTAGAGACCGGCATGACTGGTTTGAAACCTCCAAACACTTTGCACTTAGGCCCTAGGGAATACATTCTAGAACTTGAGGAATAAATTTACAATTAAGGAGATGGACGAAGTGAGGGAATGATACATGTAGGGTTGTATCAGCATTGGGGTTTTAGTTTCTTTTACTACATTTGCATGTTTTATAGATTTTTTATTGATATATTGATGCAAAACTATCTCAGAGTTTACTGGGTCTTAATCCCTGTGATGGACCCTAGAAGGGGGAAAACACATTAGTAAATTATGTCTGTGCTTTCATATATTATAGTATCACTTTGAGAAAAAGCATGTAATAGTATAGGATTATCTGTTTTGGATTCTTTGCCAAGCCTCTACTCCCCAGTACTTCAACTTCTTTGTTTTCTCTTTACATGTTCCTTTGAAATGAAGGAATTTTAAATCTGGGAAGTGCATTTGTAAATCAGTGGACTCCTCCACACACCATACATATGCTGAGGTCCTTTAATGCAACCAAGATTTACCAATCACTGATCTAGAAAGAGGAGGCTATAAAGATGAGCCAGTGAATGAATTATCTGGGACTCTAATTTCTTCCCACTTCTTGTCATAAATCATTCCATAGTTTGTTAGGATCTTTACCAGAGGTTGACTTGGAAGTGAAGAAACAACAACCAAACAAATAAATGAACAAAAATCATTGTTATTGTTACCCATACAATGGGTGGGTTCTGTTGCTTGGCGAGTATCAACCCAATAATCATAACTTAGGAGGATTTAGCAGGGGATTTTATTGTGACAGGTAAGGAGAACACCACAGATAGTTCCCAAACCCATGTCTCCCTCTGCTGGGAGCTGGGTCAAGCTTTATAAGCATAGGGTAATTAGGTGTGATTGGATTGGATCTTGCAATGACCTGATGTTGGGAGGAAGTATCCAACTGGACTCTGCCATGGCAGTGATGCCAGAGCTCAATCTGATTGGATATTGGATTCTACCATATGATCTCCCTTCTTAATTTAGTCCCTGCTCCTTGGTAGGGCACTGAAGTTCCCCTTGTGATTATACACCCAGTTCATTTGAGCATACTCAGGTTATCTGACCTGGGGGTCCATGACAACTAAAAAACAATGCACAACTTTGTTACATAAAAGCTGACCCAGATTGGTCTGGTGCTGTTACGTTATTTCACAGCAACTTGAGAAATAATGTAAATGACAATGACCAAAGTAGTTGAAACCAGAAGCCAAAATAAATGTTTGAGATTTCAACTATCATGGCTATTTCTATGCTTCAATCATACCTACCTTACCTATAAGAGCATTGTAGCACATATGAGCATGACTTATTTTCCCACTCCTGCACTATTGCATGTGACTTTCAAACTACAGAAGCACTAATGGCCTAGAGAATGATATTTTAGTGTTAGTGTGCACCTGTGCTAACAATTATTATCAAGTCCAATTGATAAAAAATACTCAGAACTGAAATGTCATCTGGACATCAGAAAAATAACTACAATGAAGTCAAAGATTTAATCAACTAAAATTCTTTCTAAATCATCTCCAGTGACTCATGGTTCCATCTGAATCTCCTATTCACATATTACCTACATCTTGGAGCTGTTATCTTCCCAGCTTCAGGGAGAAGCTCTCTTCTCTACTGCGGCTAAAGTCTCATTATCCTTAATACTAAAAGCAGAGAAAAGTAACCACCTTACACTTATTACTGATGCCATTAGTGTTATGGGAAGCTGGGTGGTTGTTACAATATTTTTCATCAGAGCTCATTTCTTTCTGTTCCCATCAAATATGCCTTTCTTAACCCAGAATAGCATAGTTCATTGAAGATAAAAACCATTAGGTACCTTTTACAATCTTCTCTACATTGTTTTCAAAATGCACTGGATTATTTGAAATGACTTGTCCAGTGTCAAACAAAAATAATTTGATCAAAGCTACCAAAGAGTTTTATTTCAGTGACTACATAAAAAACAATATATTCTATTCATATTTCTTCCTTTGAACAAAAGCTGGCTAATAAAACTCCTTGTTTATCATAGACATGGTACTTATTGGCAAAATAAGATTTTAGATAAAATGGGACAAAGAAATATTGGATGGCATGGGAGATGGGAGATTAGTAATAGTCCAGAAAAACATGATAAATTGACACCTAACTCTTAAAACATAACAGCCGACCTGATATTGGGATATCTTATTTGTCATGGGCCTGATAAGCCTTTCTTTTTTTCTTTTTTTTTTATCTTAACCATCCTGTGTTTAAATAAAACAGATCACTCTTATGGAAAGATGAGGTCTATTTTCTAGTCAGTGCAGTATAAAAAGGAGTTTCATGCAGTTTTTCATTTCATTCCCCTTCTGAGGTGAACTCAGTACAGGATATTTTCATGGGAATCAATCCAGTCTTTAATGACCATGACTATTGTTGATACAAACAGAAATGTATTTGTTCACAAAAAGGTTGGTTTCCATTAGCAGAACTAGGAAATAGAGAGTGTGTGTTGCATAAAGATCTTGCTTGCTCTAGCTGCAGGTTTTCTTTAGCTCTAGAGGTGCATCCTTTAATTTCCATTTTTCTATACAACAAAGTGTTGAATAATATGATTTACACATATTATTAAATTTAATATTGGATGTTTGTAATTGTTTTTAACTTATATAATAAAATCCTCACAAAAACCTTGTGGGCCTCCTAACAATCTCATTGGTTCACTTCACTGGACAAATGCCACATCCACAGATCTCTTCTAGGTAAGACTTCCCTACCTTGGGCTTCTACCAAGATTGCTGAGAGAAATTGCCTTTAATCTTCCTAGAGACACTGTTGTTTGAATGATAGCATCCCTCTACATCCCGCTGTTGTTTGAATGAGAGCAGACATAATATCTTTAAAGAGCCTTTTGTGTGACTGAATAGTACTCTGGAACACATAATTCACTTTCTCAGATCTTAACAAAATGTTTACAATCACACTCTTTGCTTTATCATTAGACTACATTTTTCTGGCAGTGCCCTAGCTTTGATCTTTAGTCAGAAGCCATTTCTTAATTTTAACTATCTGGATAGGCTGAACAGTTTTAAAACCAATGAGTCCACCTGGGATTCTTTCTATATAAAAGTCCTCTCAATTTATCTTTCTTCTCTCACATTTTACTATGAACAGCAAAAAGAACTCAGTTAGGGTGGGTGCAGTGGCTCATGCCTGTAATCCCAGCACTTTGAGAGGCCGAGAGGAGCAGATCACCTGAGGTCAGGAGTTCGAGACCAGCCTGGCCAACATGGGGAAACCCTGTCTCTACTAAAAATACAAAACTAGCTGGGTGCGGTGGTGGGTGCCTGTAATTCCAGCCACTCGGGAGGCTGAGGCAGGAGAATCACTTGAACCTGGGAGGCGGAGTTTGCAGTGAGCCAAGATCACGCCATTGCACTCCAACCTGGGCAAAAAGAGCGAAACTCTGTCTCAAAACAAACAAATAAACAAACAAACAAACGAACAAACAAAAAACCCAGTTAGCATCTTGAACATTTTACACTGAAATCATAGCTAGATCACCAGTTCATTAGGCACATATTCTGCTTTCCACATGATGGCCAACAACATTGTTCACAAGCTTTCTGCTACTATAGGAAAATAACCCCTTGCTGCTAATTTCCAATAAGATTTTTCTCTCTTCCCTTTAAACTCTCATCAATAACCTCACCAAAGTCCAATATTCTATAGTCTTTTCCAGATATTTAAAAGCTTTTACTAACATGCTCCTCAAAATTAATTGCCTGGATCCAAAGACCTTTCCATAGTTTAGAGTTTTATTATGGCAGCATCCACTTCCAAATATCAAAAACAAACAAACAAACCAAAAAAACCCCAGAAGCATTTATTTTTCTCACAGTTTCTGTGGGCTAGGAATCTTGATGTGTGTGCTTGGGTACCTCCAGCTTGAGTTCTCTAATGCCGCTATTGTTTATTTCTTAGCTGGGGCTATGGAGTCTTGCCTGGGGAGAATCCACCTCCAGGCTCACTCACATAATTGTTAAGAAAAAGAAACGATGTTCTTCTTGGTCTGTGGAACTAAGGGCATCTCTGATTTCTTGGCTACTGGCTGGAAGTCTCACTCAGTTCTTTACCAATTGGCCTCTTCACACAGCAGCTGGCTTCTCTCAGAATGAGCAATAGATAGTGAATATAAATGGATGGTGCCATGTTTTCCTTTTCTTTTTTTTCTGTCTTAGTTGTTGTTTGTTGTTGTTGTTGTTTGTTGTTGTTGTTGTTGTTGTTGATGGAGTCTTGCTCTGTTGCCAGGCTGGAATCCAGTGGCGCGATCTCGGCTCACTGCAACCTCTGCCTCCCAGGTGCAAACAATTCCCCTGCCTCAGCCTCTCAAGTAGGTGGGACTACAGTTGTGTGCCACCATGCCTGGCTAATTTTTTGTATTTTATTAGAGAAGGGGTTTCCCCATGTAGGCTTGGATGGTCTCGATCTCCTGACCTCATGATCCACCTGCCTTGGCCTCCCAAAGTGCTGGAATTATAGGCGTAAGCCACCCAGCACAGCTGCCATGTTATTTTTTTTTTTTTTAACCCAGTATCAGAAGTGCCATCCTATTGCTTATACCATGTTCTCTATTCTACATGCAAGTTGCTACATTAAGCACACACCGAAATGCATGGCATTATGCAAGAGCATGAATTCCAGGTCACAAGCTAAGTTGGGGCCATCTTGGAGGATGCTTTCCGCAATTATCATAGACTACTTTTGTCTGTTTCTGTTCCTGAATTCCATTTAAGTAAAAAAGCACATGTTCGTCATTATTTTGTGTCTGTTTTCTTTTTGTCAACATTAGTTTTTGTTTGTTTGTCTATTGTTTTTAGTTTATCCATGTCACTGTGTGCAATTGCTATTTACTATTTTTAACTGGTACCCAAACTTCCATTGTATTATTATAAAGAAGCTACTTATCCATTCTACCGTGAGTAGATATTTTAGAATTTTTTAAAAGTTTTCTTTCATTATAAATAATGTGAGAATGAATATTTTAGAATATGTTTATTTTAGAATGTGTTTAGAGGAAACAGACACTCATTTTTCTTGGGTAGATGCTTAGAATACAGAACTGGCATCGCATGTTTATTAGACAAGTTTATGTTCAGAATTATTAGGTACTGGCAAACAGATTTCTGAAATGCTTACACCAATTTGAAATTCCACCAAAATATGATATTTCCAGTTGGTCAATATTGTTGTCAGAATGTAATATATTGTTTTTCAAAATATAGCCTCTCCAATGGACATGTCTTCAGTCAACCAATTCATCCTGAGGCTTTATTAAATGCAGACAGGTAGGTGCTTGATTATGTAAATTGACAAAACATAAAAATATAAACAATTCATGGCTCATGAAGATTATATTCTTCTGGAGAAAGACAACACTTTTTTTAAATGAACAAAAACAAAAAAATAAATACTCATTGTCATATAATATGATAGGAGCAGATCAATGTTATGGAAGAGAAAGACTCGGGCAAATAAGAACAGGACTTCCAAAGAGGATGTGATTTTAACGCAGTGACATTTGAACAAAACTTGAAGATAGTTAGAATGAGTCAGGTGGACACTTGCAGGAACAAAGCTTTATGTGGGGGATGGTGCAGCCAGGGCAAATGCCCTAAGGCAGGAGCACACTTATCCTTCTTGAAGATGATCCGACAATCAGAGGGTACCCTGTAAGCACAGCAGAGTAGGCAGCGGAGGGAATAAGAGAGAGATTAGTGAAGTAATGAAGGGCAGGCACATCAGTTTGAGGACATTTCTTTTCCTCTGAATGAAATGGAGGTCATTTGATGATTGGAGCTAAGGAATTCACATAACCTCATTCACATGTAAAAGTCATACTCTATAAGTGATGTTGACAGAATTCACTTTATAGGCAATAACTTAAAGCCACAGTACTAGATGAGATAGGGTTAAGAAGATCATGTAAATGGGAAAGAACAGATGCGGGGGCATTACCACAGTCAGAAGTCTTTAGTGGAGGAGGAGTAGTAAGCATGTAAGTTTGCAAGATAAATCAATAAGAAGAAAAGAAATCCATGGAAGTGTAATTTCACTAAAGCCTAGAGAGGAAAATATGTCAATCACATATGGTCACCTTTGTCAAATACTGCTGAAAGAGAAATAGGATGAAGATTAAAATGAAATCTGTGTGTGTGTGTGTGGATGATTCAGGATACTGTAGATTTTGATAAGAGCCATTTCAATTAAACAGTGTGGTGAAAAACACTATTGAAGTCAACTGAAGAGGCAAGTGAAAGAAAACAGAGACTGAGGCATAGAGAATCATTTGAAGTGTGCTATTATGAAGAAGAGCGGGAAAACATCAATGTAAATCAAAGAGATAGAAGGACAAGGGTAGCTTAGTATTTTTTTAGGGTAGGTAATATTAAGAAATATTTGTACACCAATGGATTTAATCAAGTAAGAAAGAGAGAAATTAATAATACAGGAGAAAGAGGAAAATGTAAGGAAAAAGTCTGAAAAGATACACACATGCACAAAATTGAAATGAGTGGAGAGGAGAGCTGAAATTTAAACAAAAACATTTCTTTTACCATAGCATAAGTGAACACAAAGTGCACAGGTAGTATTGCACTTAGTCTGTAGTTGTTGGTATTTTCAGGTAAGATAATTCTTCTCTGCTGACTCTGTTTTCTCTAAGAAGTATGTAGAGAAGTCACTAGCTGTGAAGGATGGGGGATATAGTGTTTGCAAAGAGAGAAGTGTGAGATGGGCATCCTAGAGGGTGGAGAAGGGAACTTGCTAGTAATATAATTTTTTACGGTTGTGTGCCAAAGTGATATTTGTGTCAGAAAACTTGTCCACTTGAAATTTTTGTTCAGAGCTATTAACAATAGAAACAATATACTCTATAATATTTTTCTGCCATAGATTTCTGCTCATGCAAAGATAAGGTGCAGAGTTGAATTTAACCTGGGATAGAGTTTTGCCAGTGAATAAGAAGAGTGACACCAGTACGTTGAAGTGTTGTCGAAGGAGTGTTTTGAATGTTAAGTAATAGATTGTTGTCTATACAATAGAATGCAAGAAGAGTAATGGAGAGTGAAATAAATTTTTGTCTCCATGAAGATGGAGAAATGCTGGCGTGGGGGAAATGGAGTTAGTGAGCTAAAGGAAAGGAGATGGTAGATTGGGAGTGGATTATTTGAGACCATTGAATGGCTGAGTGGGGAATGGATGAAAAATCTAACATTGGACCCAAGGAGGGCAAGCAAATAGAAAACCAGAGTTTGGAGAGTTGATGACTTCATGAATTATGACAGGACTAATACTGGAAATAATGAGGTTATCAATTAATGAAGGAGTATTCCTGGAAAACTGATAGATGACAGCAACAATGAATGATAAGAAAAGTCAAGTCTGGCATTGGGGAAGTTAAAGGAGCTGGGTGTTTTAAAGAAGAAAAAGATCATTTGCAAGTGGCTTTGGGAAACCAAAAGGAAACATGTCTCATAGTGAAGTCCTGAGCCATGTGTCATGCTTGAGAAAACATGGGCAACGGCCAAGCAGGAGTGAACGTGGGGGAAAATGTTTAAAGAAGAGCTAATGAAGAATTAGGGATTTTCACAACACAGTGGAAGTCCTGAAATGGAGGTAAAGACGAGAAATTGAATCTGATTATAGAATATGCAGAAAAAATGTATGGGAATTAATTGTAATTTTCATGTGTTATCTGAGGGACCTGGACTCTGCCATTGATCAAGATTAGTAAGAATGAATACAATGATGGCAGAGGTCCTGGAAGCCCAAGCATCCAATAATTGAAAGCTACACATTGCCTGTCTCACCAGCAGCCAAGTACATGGTCACTCAGAGCACTGTACAACTGAAAGCATCTGAGAAGCTGCTTATGTCCCTGAGAGTATTAATTTATTTGGCTCATCCTGGGGTATCTTTGTCCCACCTATGACTATCATGGCTGTGATTGTCGTACCCCTTATCATAGATTTTTTTTTTGAGATGGAGTCTCACTCTGCTGCCCAGGCTGGAGTGCAGTCATGCCACCTTGGCTCACTGCAACCTCTGCCTCTTGGGTTCAAGCGATTCCCTTGCCTTAGCCTCCCAAGTAGTTGGAATTACAGGCATGCACCACCATGTCCCACTAATTTTTCTGTATTTTTAGTAGAGACATGCTTTCACTATGTTGGCCAGGCTGGTCTTGAACTACTGGGCTCCAGTGATCCGCCCGCCTCTGCCTCCCAAAGTGCTGGGATTACAGGCAGGAGCCACAGTGCCCGGCCAGATTTTTTTTTAATGCATTCCATTGTTTTGCTTGCTTGTTCTTCTTTTTTTGCCTTGTACTCTCTCCATTTCTAATTCTCTCTCCAGTGAATTTCTATCTAAGATCAAACCCAAACATCACCTCCTTGTATGACTGCTAACCAAGGCTTTCTTGGTGCTTATCCCTATTCTCAGAGTGAATTTTCCCATGTTCTGTAAGCGAAGCCTTTGTCCATTGTCCATATTACTTCTTCAACTTGTGTTGTGATTAGCTGCATATAAATGTTTATCACATTTATTATGACTTATTTTATTATTGCCTTGTTAAGCCTAGGCACTTAAACGGTACTTACATAGTACCTGTTTCATAAATTGTGTAAATGAATAAAGAATACAAGAAGTATCACTTAACTCTATAGTTTACAAAGTGCATACCACAATCTTCGTGACTCATTTTCTCCTTCTTCTCATTGCTTCTCTCCATCCCACTCATTCCTATGACTTAAGCTCCTGCAAAAGCAAAAAGTTCCTGGCACCCCTCCATATAAATATATCTTTAAATAATATAGATGTAGAATTCATTAGCTACTTGATTCTGAGTCTAACATAGATCTCTAAGTTTTCACAAATTTATTTTGTGTATCCATTGAATGCTGTAGAAGCAATAGTTTAGAATGGAATTAAGGTCTGGAGGAAAATAAATCAAAATATGGGCAAGAAATATAATTGGGAATACATGCTTCACTGGAAAGATACTGCAAATTTATTAATGTTTATTAAAAGTTTATCTACAGGCAAATCATCACTGTGACATCATTACACTTTAAAAGAGTTAATGGTTATGGACTAGTAAAAATGCAGTCTGAACAATTAAATTACAATGAAAATCTAATCTCAGACTTGCCTTTGTGACTCAAAATCTCCATATTTCCCCCCACTCGTTTTTTTCTGTACTCTTCCCAAGAGCAGAGGAAATAACTTACATTACTTGCAAGAGCTAAGCTTACATAACAAGATGCCTTATAGCCAAAAAGCCATCTGGTCAGCACCCTTCACAGTTAGTAATAATAACTGAATGGTCAGTGCCCAAAGATAAAGCAAAATTCAACATGAATACACTTACTCTGTGCAGGTGTTCAAGAAGAACATATGTCTATTGCACTGAGGAAATGCATTTAGAAGAAACTAGTTACGTACATTTAAAGAGAGGTGAAAATTACTTTAGAGAACCAACATTCTGTTCCATCTCCCTCTCACGTCTATGGTTTCCATATAAACTCTTCTGTGAGTTTATACTCTGTGGAATTCTGGCAGGCAGCAATCTCTCAAATTTTCTTTGTGAAAAGGTGTATAGCATAGGGAAGGAGAACAAGTAAAAACAACAGAATATGTTAATGAATTAACATATTGTTTTAAATTTCAAAGTATTAGCATTTTAAACTATGTTAAGTATATTTACAGAATGTGAACTATTAAAAGCCGATTATTTTTATTATGGTAATAAGGTGACCTTGCTGCCAAGAATCATCTATCTCTGATCTTGTAGTTTCCCCATCATATCTCCTCAACTCTCCCTATCAGCCATCATCATCATTCCGAACCCCACTGCCACATTTCTTTGCTTTCTTTTTTATGTAGTTGTATACATCTTCATGCTTTCCTACATGGTTTTGTTTTTAATTATTTTTAATTTTACACAGATTGTATTTGTTTGTATAAAATCTTTTAGATCCTATTTTTTTGTTAATATTATATTACTAAGATCTGTCCATTCTGGTTTTCATACTAGTATATGTGAACACACTACAGTTAATAAGCCCAATGTCTATTTTACAGATCTTGGGTTATTTATTTTTTTTCTTGCACAATAGCCCATGTTCAATATTTGTCAGTGTTTTTCCTGGATACATAAAAAGGGACTGAAATTAGTGGTGTCTAAAACACATGACTGCTCAACTAAATAAAAATGAAAGAAAGCTACAAAAGGACCAAAGGTGAAAACATCATTATCCAAATATTAAAATAACTACTACTGCATGCACCCAACTTCCATACAATTTCTGATTTAACAAGTAGCTTTCACTTCCTCTTCTAAAATTAAGATCTTGTTTAACTCCATGAAATATTTACTTGTCTAGAGGAAAAGGCAAAAATCTTTGAATCAGCTGAAGCTGGTTTAGAATCCTATTTTCTCATATGGGTAGAGTGATGGTCAGTCTTATTGGATAATGACTTGGCCTCTGGAGTCAGAATTGTTGGGTTTAAATCTCAATTTCAACATTTCCTAACTGGGGACTGTTAACAAGCGTCTTAACTGCTCTTAACACAGTTACTTTACCTGTGAAATGGAGATAGAAAATTGGGTTTGGTCCTCAAAAAAGAGTCACTACAATTTTTATTGGTAAAAAACAGTTTAATAGAAGGATTAGATAATGTAAAAATTAGACAAGGTTGGGTAGGGAAGATTTAGATAAGCAGGCAGTAGCTGGAGAACCAGAGAAACAGCCCCAAAGGACTTCAGCCTTATGAACAGAGCAGGTGAAAAAGTCAAAGCACACAAGAGTCTGAGATTCTGGAGCATCTGGCCCCAAGAAGTGTGAAGAGGGAGTTCACAGAAATCTGAGAACATGCAATGTCTGGCTGCCACAATTGCAAGATAGAAGTTCAGTAGGATTTGATATGCCAGAGCTTATAAAAATGTCTGAAACCAGACTGCGTTTGTCCACACTCTCTGCTAAGAATAATGGACTCTCTTCCTCTCCTCCTTCCAAGTCTTACTTTTCATGGGCTAACTCTAACTGAGA
The DNA here is from genome assembly GCF_000001405.40 of Homo sapiens. NCBI lineage: Eukaryota > Metazoa > Chordata > Mammalia > Primates > Hominidae > Homo > Homo sapiens. Next base: position 9,638,219 of record NC_000010.11, read on the forward strand.
ACCATTTAGAGACAAATATTCCGGGAAATACAGTTCTTGGCTTCTCTTCTATAATGCTAATAAGACCTCAGATGCAGAAGGCAATGTTGGTAAATCACAATTCATTACTTATAATATCTACCTTATAAAGCCAACAAGACTAAATAAAATAATTATATGATGGACTCAGAATAACAACTGGCTCAAATAATGTATTCAATGACATACCCATTAGGTCACAAACTCTATTATTTAGTTAAAGTTACTTTACATCTCTAAACTTTTTTTCTTTTGTCTTTCTCAATATACCATATGAATGGTGTGAAATTGTTATTTTTTGACAGGGAGTTCATGTCATGTTTATATTTTTGGACTTAGCTGGTATCTAGGACTTGACTGGTTACAGCAGGCACTTCACATGCTAGTTATCTTCCCTCTCTGAGTTAGCTTGTTTTCTGTTGCTATAACTGAATACCTGAGACTGGGTAATTTATAAAGAAAATAAATTTATTTTTTACAGTTCTGGAGGCTGGGAAGTCCAAAGTCGAGGGGCTACTTCTGAAGAGGATTGTTCTGCTGCTGGGAACTCCAGGCAGAGTCCTGAGGCAGCACAGGGCAGCACATGGTGAGGGGCCTGGAGTGCCAGCTCAGTCTCTCTTTCTCCTTCTACAAAGCCACTATGTCCCACCCTTGTGTCTTCATCTAATCCTAATCACCTCCCTATGACTCCCACCTCTCAAATACCATACACAGATTTCCTACTCTCCTAATACACTTACAATGGAGATGAAGTTTCAACTTGAGTTTTATCAGGGACAAACATTTACACCATAGCATCTCATTCCTCCAGGAACTATTTTCATTAATTAGCTACATGCATAAGCCATGGTACTGGGCAGGTGGGTATGAAAACAATATAAAACATAGTTATTACCATCCAAGAATTTACAACACAGAAAGGTTTTCTTTTTTTTTGGAAATGTGTTGTGCCTGTTACGCACCCAGTGCCATTCTGAGGAAAGCCAGCAGGTAATTAATTTAAGTGCCTCAGTTACAATACATTGTGTGATATGAAGAATACCATGTATATACAGGTCTGAATCTTAAATCTTCATTTTACAGAGAAACAAAAAGATGTCCAGAGAAGCAGTATACCATGGTGGTTCAAAGTTAAAACCTGGAGGCAGAATACTGAGGCAACATCCAGGTTTCTCACTTGTTAGTTACGTAATCATGGGTCATTTATTTATGCTACCTCTGACTCTGTGAGCTAAATGTATCAATAGCAACCACTCAGTAGCATTATAGTGCAAATTAAATTAAGTAATATATGTAAAAATCCTTAAAAAGCTCTGGCACATGATATTCTCCAAAAAGCTCTGTTATCGTTATTACTAATTTCCAGAATGAATGATTGGTACAAAAATAAGTAACCTTGTCACAGGTTACATAGACTATGCTACAAAATAGTTATATTCAATAAGGATGATCTATTTTGGAAGCTTTTAATGGTCATTTAGTCTGTCAAAGAATCCTGAATGTAAAGCAAAGAGAAAGATTTGAGCAGATGGTACAGTAAGATAAGTAACAAAAGTAAAGAGAAAGGGTAACAGAGACAAATAGATGAATGGCTGAGTTAGTAAAGTGAAATCATTCACCCTTCATGGTGGGAAGGGTGGCAGGATGGACAGCTCTGCAGAGCTTCTCTTGCATCACTGATCTTGCCACTGAGTGTTGAATGATAATGAACTCAACCAACAGTGAGGTCTAGCTGTGTAATTGATGAAATAATTTCCAATTGTTCCTTGCTCCTTATCATCTGTATGAGAATTTCCAATTATTAGTCATCAACTAAGTTCCTAACAACGTAATGTATATAAATGATATTAAAAGCAAAAAACACTGCACATTATATGAAGTACAATGAATAATAGAATAATATAGGAAAAGGGCAGATACAATATATGGAAATAGTTAGAATCGCAGATGCATATCATTATTATTCTTCTGCCAGTCCCTTCGTATCACCACCACTCCCTCAAAAATAGTTTCACCCAACATAGGTTCTGGGACTTTTCCAAGTGTAAAATTTGCCTGGTGGGTGCTATTTTCTGTGATAGTTGAATATGCTCAGGAAATGAACACTGTCACTAAATGTGCCACATGAAGGCAGAAGAAGAATGGACAAACAGAGCTTGAGAAAAAGAATGATGATATTTCATGTGTCCAGGACTTCTGTGATCTTATATTAATTACTGTTGAGCTGATATTAATTATTTGTCTTCATTATTTGTCTAGGCTCTCCATTCTTCAGATCTCAGTGATTATTACAAGATGTAATTGTAAATTATAATCAAGTAGACATAAACTATAATTATATAAATACAAACATAAAATAAACAAGTATTTCAGGGATAGCATCTATATTGGAAAAATAGTGAGGGAAGTGTGGAACTTGGATATCAGACTTAGAATATATTCTGAAGAGGAAACAAAGCCTGTCTTCTTAAACTGAGTTCTTTGAAAAACCAGAGATTTCATCAAGAGGAAAAAAATAACACACTAGAGCATAACATACAATTAATAAAGGTAATATTGTTTACAGCTTAAAGTATTTAGCATCCTTCAGGCAATAATGCACTCCTACAATTCATACATTAGATTTAAATTGCAGCCTAACCATTTAAGGTATATGGAGATTTACATAATTGCAAAGCTATGTTCAAATTATCTTTAAGAATATTTTGAGTTCTGAGAATTGTAAGTTCCTTCCTAACCGGCCACTTAATGCATTTTCTCTTCTCTGAGTGATTTTAAACGTCAAATTTAAGAAAGAATTATTTGCTTTTATGCTAGTATGCCATTTTTCCCATATATCTAATCAAAATCTCTCTTTAAGGCAAGTATATATAAAATGACATGTCACTATCTCCTCTGTGGTGATAAAGGAGAATTATTAGTACTTATGCAGAAGAAAATTAGAGTTAACCATTAACACAGCTGAGGTATGAGGAGTCAAGTTTCTGCTTTAATGCTTAATAGTTGTGTATGATATTACAGTGATAATTTATCAGAGATAACAAAGTTTTTTTTGTAACTATACCAGAATCAAGTGCCTTTTTCTATTGTTTATAAATTTTTTATACCACTTTAACCATTTTAAATACACAGTTTAGTGGCATTAACTATACTCACATTGTTGTGCAGTACTACCATCCTCCAGAACTTTTTCATATTCTCAAGCTGAAAGTCTCTACCTATTAATTAACTATGCATTCTACCCTCCCTCCAGCATTTCATTCATGAATAAAAACACAGAATATCTCATCATGTGCTTATTGACCATTTGTATATTTTCTTTGAAAAGATGCCTATGCAAGCTTGAGTGTTGTTTTAAGTGGAACATATATACAACTTTTGATTCCGAACCAAGTCTGTATATTTTATATAAGCAATAAGACTGTAATCATTTCAAAGAAACTTAAAGCTAATGAAACTATTTACCCAAAAGCTTAAGTATTTTTTTGTTTTTAAAAACTATACTTTTTTGGTTATTTTTATTTAAAATTACATTTGAAATAAAATATTTTGAAATAAAATTACATTTGAAATAAAATATTTTTAATTAAAGTTATTTTGATAAATATTTAGTGACATGGGAAAATAATCACTTATATTAATAAGAAAAGAACTCATATGTAACATATAAGATTCAAATTTTGTGAAAGAGCATTCAAAAAAATTATATGCTCTTAATGCACATAAATTAAAATTAAATCACAAAATAAATAACAAATCATTTTGAACTAAATAATAATGAAAATGGCAAGTGTTAAAATCATGCAATACAAATGAAGTTTAGGTAGAGGAAAATGTGTAGCTTTTACGGCATTTCTTCTGTAAAATAAAAATGAGCATTGTTTTACTTATCTCTTTTATTTATTAATTTCTACATAAGAAGCCACCTACAATTTAGTATCTTAGAAGTGTTTCAGCTTCATCTTAGGTTAGCTGGAAAGTGTTTCTATCTTTTCAACAGAAAGTGGTAGGTAATCTTCATAATCAATGCCTTTCCATCATAGAACTGCAATGCCAAAGCAACAAAATAATTCCCAATGTAACAAAAGATTCACCCTCAGTGACACACTGGATGCATGCACTTGCTTACCTGGGGCAGACACTGGACCCCAGAAAAGCTTGTGAGAAGAAATCAGTAAAATTTGAAAATTTGTAATGAATTGCTAAGGCCAAGGACCCACTTGAGTGTGGAACCTGGTGGAGTCAAAGACACTGGAGGAATGTGAACTCACAAATCATTCTACACAGAGCTCACAAGGCTTTCCTGAGAAAGACTGGCAGCAAGGTTGGCAAGGTTAGGGGAGGGGAGCAGCAGTAACTATAAGAAAGGCACAAAGCTCTGCTTGGGTCCAGATCCTCTCTCTCCCTTACACAGCAATGACTTCATCACCAGGAAAAGAGTAGCACCCTTTGCATCTGACAGAGCAATTTAAGACAGAACAAAACTCTAACATGGAAGGAGAAAGAAGACATCATTAGCCCAGACCATGAAAGATTCCCTTCCATTGAGCAAAGAAAAAGTTCAGTGGGAAGACTTTACCTCCAAGACCCAGGGACACAGCACCTATGAAGACTGAGGCTGAATCAGAAAAACAGAAAACCCTCCATCTCTACCATGAGGTTAGCAGGTTTTGAGTAGTAACTAACAACAGTATACTGTAGGGAGAGGATCAAGAAGATTGGTGGAGATCTTCTCTGAGGTGTAGAAATAAGAGGAAAACCTAACACAAGGGTGAAACAGATATTAAGAAAAGTCTTTTGTCAAAAGAGTCCCACCCTAAATGCAAGATAATGCTACAGGAACTGAGAATCATTGTTACCTATGGTGCAGGAGGGTAACTACACACAACAATCCCCAAACCCAGCTCAAAAACAGACCAAGTTAATTCAATAGCCCAAAAAAGGCCTATCAAAAATCAAAGCATGCTCAATCTCAGGTAGACATTATTTAAATCAGTCTCTACTGTCATATCCATCGTCAACAAAAAAAATTATGAGACCCACAATAAAGCAAGAAAAAATAAAAAAAAAAAACTTACGCTCAAGAGACAAAGTATTCAATGAAACTTGTTTTAGAGACGACTCAGATGTTGCAACTATCTGACAGGGATTTTTAAAATAGCTATGACTAAAATGCAAGAGTCTCTTGACTAAGAGGATAACAATACAGACGCACAGATGGAAAATTTCAGCAGAGAGATAGAAACGTAATTAAAAAATTCAATTGAAATGCTAAAATTAAAAACATGATTAAAAAATACATGTTTGATAAACTCCTGGACCCCTTAAGACAAGAATTAGTAAACTAAAATTAGGTCAATAGAAACCACCCACAAAAAAACAGAAAATAAAAGATTTCTGTAACTTTTTTAAAGAATAGAGCAAAAACAAGAGATGTGAACAACATCAAACCGTATAACATGTGCGTAACTGAAATCCCAAAGGAGAAGAGAGAATGGGACGAAAAAATTTGAAGGGATAGTGTCCAATAGTTTGTCAAAATTAATGAAAGATACTAAATCATATGTCAACAAAGTTCAGAGGACATGAGGCAGGCTAAGTAAAAACAAAGCACCCAAAACCCTTTTGACACACCATATTAAAAATGCTGATTATTAGAGAAAAAGTAAGTCTTGAGGTTAGCCAGACAAAAAAAGATACTTTATATATGAACAAAGGGAAGGTTTCAGCAGACTTATTATCAGCAACTATGCAAGTCATAAGACAATGGAGTAGTATCTTCAAAGCACACCCACATCCACATCCACACCCCCCTACACAAACACACGTGCACACACACACACACACACACACACCCCTAAAGTCTCTATGTGCAGATCCATAATCATCCAAAGAACAGAGAAAGCTCCATAAAGATTTTTGAGCCATTGTCTCAGCATAACTTTCTGCTCATCAATAATCTACCTAGAATATCATAGGCACTTTAGTATCCCTGATATCTGATTTCTCCATTCTCAACTAAGCAAGATGGTTAGGCTCTATCTGGGTTCTCTCGGCACTGCACTTCCAGAATAGACCTCAGGCAGAAAGATTTATGAAGCTGGAACTTCATTTGTCTCCCTTTTCTAAGATAGTAGTGCAGTCTAAAAGCCAATGTCTGAAAATGCTTGTTTTCTTTTTATTTTTTCCTAGGTTTCTACTTATTTACAGCAGGAGGGTAATTTCTTTTTTGTTTTGGGCTAGATTTAATTTCCTTTGATTTACTCACCCATGGCAGAGGGAGCTGTCTGTTGATCCTTTCACAATTTATCCTCATTATCAAAATTACTGTCATAATTTAAAATCAATTAAAATTAAAAATACACTGTTTTCTACTTTTATCTCATCTTTTTCTCTAATATACATGAGTAGTAGTATTGAAAATATGAGGTTTGGTTGCAAGCATGTGTAAGAAACTAATCTTTTTTGCTTCTCACAGTTAGGCAACCAAGGCTTCTCTACATAGGCAAAGAATGGTGATTTATTAGTCTCCAATATTTCAATGAGACAGAATATGACAATTATCTTTGGCTTTTCATTGTTCTGTGCATGTTTTACTCTAACCCTTTTTAATTTTTCTACCCTCATCACCTCATCCCATGTGGAGGACATCAGTCTCAGTCACTCATCCTGTAATCAGAGTTGTCCTCATAGACAAATTAATGAGAGGTTAAGTGGGATTTGGGAATTAATAGATCATAGCACACTGACCAGCTTGGGATATCTGGTAATCATTCAAAGGGAGATTTCTTATCAACTTATGTAATTATAGTATCTTCAATATTTAGAGATTCTAATGAGGCACTTAGGTTGATTTTTGATCGTATAACGGTTTGCAGTGGGAATAGCATACGATTGATGGCAGAGAGACATTGGTCCAACACCAGCTGACATTCCTTCATTCTTCAATTTTTTTTTTCATTTTTTACCAGACTATGCATGTTACATTAAAATCTCTGTCAATAAGCATCTTCATCTGATTGGAGTAATAATTCTATCATGACAATATATTCATATATTTATTTATTAGAAAAACACCTAATGTTTGGCCCATAATAGGCCAATAAATTAACTCAAGTCCTTTCACACCCTAAGCAGAAGGTTTATGTTGCCTTGATATAATTCATCCTTGGGATGAACTTTTGTTGAGCAAAAACTCATATATATTAAACAATAAGAAATTAAATAAAAATAACTACTAGGTAATCTAGTATGTCCAGCTGTATTGCGAGATTGTACACATGGCATGTTCTCTGTCCAGTTCGGATTTAAGTAACTCAGGTGAAGAAGCTCCCCATGGAGACCCATCCACAGTCTAACAGATCTCACTATTACGCAAGAGTTGCTAACATTCTGCCTTGGTTTCTCTTTGCTCTATTTTGTCTCATCACTCCTCATTAAAACAACAAGATACAAACTATAATAACAAGGAGAAGGCTGCCTGGTAGTTACTCACCTTACTATAGACATTTCCACATTGTCACTGGTTTCATTTTTATTTTGAACAAAACTTTAAAAGACCTTCAAATATTTCACCAATGGAAAATATAAAGGCTTCCAGTGGTTACTTGACCTCAAATTAATTTCTCTCTTCTTCTTTAATAAAACGAAAAGATTGTCTGAAGCATAACTCTTGGATGCTGACAAATATTATGAATGCTTAACTCAGATGCAGAAGCATTGATTTTCTTAGATCCAATAAAAGGTGATTCTTCATTTGTGATTTGGCAGATAATATACTGTAATTTTATAACCGCTCTGTGTGATCTACATCAGTCATACTATTCAGACTTATTTTGCCAAGCATTTACAAGGTGAAGGTCATTGCTGCCTCTAGGACACAAAGCCCTTGATTCATGGCTTAGAAACATCAAGGTTTTATTTATTGCAATTTATTGTTTGCTGCCTTTAGCCTATTCACAACAGCATCTTTAGTTTATTTTGAGGTTGGCATCTTGAATGATGGTTCTTATCAATAGACCAGCCTACTGTGAAATGTCACATGGAGCTATTGTCAGTTACCTAATTGCTTTAAACATATTTGCATATACACAACTTGATTTTCATCTCTTCTTGCAGAGGGATTATGCATTACAGAAAGAAGAAAAAGCAAAAAGAAAAAAAAAGGATTTGAAGGGTTTGTAACTCTGGTTTGCTTTTCATTAAGAATTCAATCTTTTCTCCATACAATGACTCCCATTGGAGCAATAAAAGGATTTACACCTTTAAGCCTTTTTGTAACACTTATTTTCCACAGCAGTAGTTCTATGCTTAATTGTCATGTACTTTAAGAACAACAAGCTTTCTCTATTATACGAGGCTGTATAATGCTAATTAGTTAATTTATGACAATAAGGTTTATAATGACATTTCAGTACCTTCCCTGTGCCAAGTGGCCAGTTAAAAGAATGGGTTATCAATTGATAACTAAATCATCAGTTGTTTTCAGCAAACCTTTTCCTCAAAGTTCACTTTCGAGATTACTTCTCAGAATGTCTTTCCCCAAAGTTCCACAGGGAATATTTCTGCAAGAAAGTCTTTCCCCAAAGTTCCACAGGGAACTTCCACTAATATTTAATCATTTCCTTTTCTGCTCAGGGTATATTTTGCTCTTGTTCCTGCAAGCTTTTTGAGAGCCAAAACTCTAATTCTGTGTTTCATCGATCTTCATATTCACAGCCTAAACACAACATCTACCACATGGCAGATGCTCAATAAAGTGAATGAACTTAAACTCCATATTAATAACACTAGCAAAATCCATATACCAAGAAAATCTCCAGGGAATTCAAATCATGTGGTTCCAATGAGACATTATTAAAATAAATACATTCCTTAATAAAACAAGAATTTCCATCATTCCAGGTTTCTTGCCTTTGTGTAATACCTTATGAAGTCTAAGATCAATCGTTTCCTTGTTTTTGCCCTCATATTTCAGGTTGCTCCATTTTCCTGCTCATTCTTGGATCTATTTTGTGAGGCTGGACTTATTGACTGGTTTGTTAATTTGTATGAATTTTAGCTTACTGATGTTTGGGATAAAGATTAATTCAGTATACATTTTAACTGTATTTTAAAATTCTAATGTCAGTGAGAGAGGTGAAGCATAATTGCTGCTAATATTGGACAGTATGACAAAAAAATAGCATAGAATTAAGCCATATACCATGTGTACTTAACTGAAATTGGATCCATGAATGGGTTTCAGATAATCCATAAATCGCTGAAATTGTGTTTAAAATTGGGTGGTATGGTTTTCAGCAGATTATCCAAAAATTTCAAGAACTACTGCCACAAATCAGATACTCATTGATATTTCCCTTATAAATTCCTCCACAGCTACCTGAGAACAATTTGATTATTTTCAATTTCCATATAATCTCTTGATTAGATCTGTTAAACAGAGGAGGCCAGGCAAAACATTTTTGTAGAAGTATTTGGTGTGCTGAATTTATTATAATCAAGTTAACAGATGCTTGGTCTGTCAGAAATGGGCTGGAATAGGAAAAGACCTATTATATAGATTTTTAAAAATAATACTTTTGTATATAGCATGAGAAAATGACAAGGGTGGCTATAGATACAGATACAGAGAAATATTCTGTTGTTTCCTGTGCCATTTGTAAAAAGACACACAGACACACAGACACACAGACACACACACACACACACACAGACACACACACACACACACACCCTGAAAATTGAAAATTTTGGCACCACTGTCTAAAGTCAATTGAGACTTTATATTCCAATAATCTAGATGTTTATTTCTATACCGATATTACACACTATCTTGAATGGTGTAGCTTTATAGCAAATCTTAAAATCCAACTTTTTTTTCTTTTGCAATATTATTTTGGATGATCTATATCCTCCACATTTTATATGCATATTAGATTCAGCATGATAATTTCCACAAAAAAAGCTGCTGACGTTTTGATCAAGGATTTATACATTGGATTTATATGTCTGTTTGGAGAGAATATTGTGAAAATATCATAGCCTGAAATGAGTGATCATAGTGTATCTCCAAATGTATTTAGAATCTTTGTAATATCTTACAACAATTCTTCAAAAATATTTTTTCTACAGGTCTTGCATCATATTTTGTTTTATGTTCACTGAAGTATTTTATGAAATTGAATGCTGTAAATAATGTTACATTTTAAAATATATTTCCAGTTATTTGTTGCTAATGTACAGAAAAAGAGTAAATTTTATATATTAATCTTGTCACCCTGTTAAATATTAGGTATAGAGTACATTTTGGGAGAAACCTTAAACATTTTTTGCAAACATTTTGCCTGTGAACAAAGACATGTTTACTTCTTTTTATCCAATATGCATTCTTATGATTTCCTTTTTTACTCTACTCTTCTTGTTAGGGCATCCAGTACCTAGTGAACAAAAGCTATGAGAGTGGACATCTGAGCCTTATGCCTGACCTTAAAAATGTTACTTGTCTTATTGTGCATTCCTTCAATCAGGTTTTAAAATTCCCATCTATTTCTAGTTTTCTGTAATTTTTATCATAAATAAATGCTGAATTTAGTCTGTTTATTTCCACCATAGAGATGATCACATGCCTTTTCTCCATTATGTTGTTAAAATGAAGAATTAATATATTGATTGATTTTCAAGTGTTAAACCAAATTTTTCATTGCTGTTGTAATCTCCACTTAAGTCTGTGATGTGGTTCAAGGCATGCTGCCCCCAAATATGGCACACTGGCATTTGAGAAAACAGCCAAAGCAGAAAAGTCTCTCTCACCTTCCCCTTACCCTTCTTTCTTAAAGCAGGTCATAAAACATAGAAAGAATTTTCTGACATTCTCTTGAAGTAGGTCGTAAGACCCTCATGGAGTGGTTTTCACTCTATATGCAGAAGAAAGGAACTCCTTATCTTTGAAGAGAATAATCTGAAGAAACAGACCTTGCCAAGTTCCCCCCAGTTTATCATCATAAATAAACTCTGTCCTCCCATCACCTTTCTCCATGACTTTCTACCCTTCATCTAACCTAAGCATAAAAATACACGAGTTTCACTGTTACTTGTGGTCTTCATTTCCTTATGGAGATTGCTCTGTCATGCAAAACTTCTATTAAATAAAATTATATACTTTTCTCCTGTTAACTTATCTTTGCTGTTGGTGCCTTACCCATGAAACTGGTGGTGGGTGAGAAATCTTTCCTGAATCATGATATATCAGCTTTTTTAGCATATGATTGATTACTATTTTCTCACATTTATTCAAAGAAATATACATCTTTGTTCACATGGAATATTGATCGGTAGGGCTTTTTAAAATTTTTCTATAATATCTGGTCTGGTACCATCTGAGGATACTGCTGATCTAATAAAATAAGTGCTCCCTCATCCTCTATTTTCCTTAAGTTTAAATTGAGTTCATAGTGTTTTTTCTTAACTGTTTGATATAATTTACCAGTAAAACCATCTATCTGGTCATGAAATTTCCTTTGTGAGCAGATTGTCAATTGCCAATACAATTTCTTTCCTACATATTTGACTATTCAGATTATCTGTTTCTTCAGTGAGTTTGTGTCTTTCAAGATATTTGTCCATTTTACTTATGTTTTAAATGGGTTGGCATAAAGTTGTTCATAAAATTTACTTTCCCTATTACCATACAATTTCCTACAGTAGCTGTCATGAGTCCCACTTTTATTACTTCTTAATTTATGTCTTTTATTCTGATCAATCTGACTAGAGTTTTACTAATTTCATTGATCTTTTTAAAGGCAAGCTTTTGATTCAGTCGCCTTTATTACTCATTTCTATTTCTTTGATTCCTACTTAATTTATTTTTTCTTTTTACAGTAGTTTAATTGTTCTTCTTTTCCCACCTTCTAACAATAATCACTGATTTAAACTTTTCTGATGTTTTTTAAATGAACTTTAAAAGTTAAAGATTTCTCTCTAATCAGTATTTTAACAAAATCCCATAAATTTGACAGGTTTTGCTTTTGTTTTCATTCAGTTCAAAATATTTTCTAGTTTTCCCTTTAACTCCTTCTTTAATCCATTAGTTATTTAGGAGTATGTTAGAAACATTTCTAATATCTTTATTATTCCATTTAAATTTATTTCTATTATGATATTAGAGCATAATATATATTATTTCAATAACTTCAAATGTATTGAGCTTTCTTCTATGGTAAAACTTATAGTCTAGCTTTGTGAATGTATCATTTATATTTATATTCTGTTTTGGTTAGGTGGAATCCTCTGTCAATGTCAGTTAGTTGGTGTGTTGTGTACTGGCTTTCATGTCTGCTGTATTATTACTGATTTCTATCTACTTTTCCTGTCACTTGCTGAGAGGGTAATATTAAAATTTCTAATACATATATATAACTATATATATCATACATATATGCTTTCTAATATATATATAGTAGAAATTTTGATATTCCCCTCTCAGCAAGTGACAGGAAAAGTAGATAGAAATCAGTAAGAATACAGCAGACATGAAAGCCAGTGTACAACACACCAACGAACTATATATAGTGTATGAAAACTATATATAATGTTCGATATGTAGTGTATATATATATATATACACACATACACTCTGTATATATATACATATATACATATGTGTGTGTATATATATATAGACTCTCATATCTATATATGTATATAGATATGAGAGAGAGAGAATCATTATTTTCTTTGTGAATAAATTTCATAAGAGATTAGTACTTATATCCTAAGGTTATGAGAGTTAGAAATAGGATAACGTATACAAAGCAATTTAAACACTGTCTGGTAACCCAGCACTAAAGGTAATAACGATAAATACCATCTTTATTATTTACATCACCTCTTTCTCAAGCTGCCCATTTACTCTAGAACATTACAAAATTAAAATCATGTATAATATTGGTTTGATAAGACATGTATACGGAAACAAAAATTTAACAATACCATTATTATTGCACAGAGACTTTTCAAGGAGCTGAGACTCAGACATTAAAAAAAGTTGAATTCAATAGAGTAAATACAGACTAGTATAAGATGAATTTTATGGCTGGGAACAAATAATACAAGTGAATCAAGATAGATTATGTAAATGCAATGACAGGAGGATATGTCATCATTTGCTCCAGCTAAACCCAAATAAATAAACACACACATAAATGCATAATAACTTCATGCATTTTATACAAGGACAGACACCAGGCAGCCAGAAATTTGTAAAGCCAGAATCCAAAAGATGAACACAATGTATGAAGTTATCTCTCTGTAAGTGTCTTTCAAAATTTTATACACAAGGAGCTCTCAGGATTTTTCTTGTTTTTACTGCTCTATGGTGCAGATGTTTCTACCATAGGCCTTAAAATCACTGATTACCACTTTAGAGAGCACCATTATCATAAAACCTCACTCAAAGTCGGATAGGGATGTTTTGCATATTGTCTAATCTCTTACGTGTCTCATACCACTCTAATTACTTGAATATTCTTGGCAAGAATATTCAACCTTCTACATCAGTAACTTCTCAACACTTTATAACATTTTTAACACTCTAGGAGATATTCCCACTACATTAAATTCTTCTTTTAACTAAACCAAGACTAATTAATTTTATGATATATTTTATAGTATATAACCACAAATAATTTGATGTAATTTTATGGTATATTACATAAGCATATATAGTAATTCTGGATTATCTAAGCTTTCCATTTATAATTATTCAGTGGCTGTTAAAAAGAAGAAAAGAGGCCAGGCGTGGTGGCTCGTGCCTGTAATCCCAGTACGTTGGGAGGCCAAGGCAGGTGGATCACGAGGTCAGGAATTCGAGACCAGCCTGACCATCATGGTGAAACACCGTCTCTACTAAAAATACAAAACTTGGCCAGATGTGGTGGTGTGTGCCTGTAATCTCAGCTACTCAGGAGGCTGAGGCAGGAGAATCACTTGAACCTGGGGGGGGGAGGTTGCAGTGAGCCAAGATCGCACCACTGCACTCTAGCCTGGGCGACAAAGCAAGACTCAGTCTCAAAAAAAAAAAAAAAAAGAGGAAAATAAATTATGCTATTTTTCAAGTCATTGAACATATATTTTATTATTTGCTTATCAGTGACATATACTTGATACTAAAAATGAAATGCAATAAGATTTGGCCATTTAGAATTCTACTTTTATCTTATCTGAGTGGCAGTATATTTTAAGTTACACCACAAGAGCTATTGTTTGATTACTCGATTATATTCTCTGCCTTCTTGGTCTGTTGATCATTTGTGTTACTAATTTAGTATGTGTGCTTTTGAGGAGATCCCTAGCTTTGAGCAGCTAAGTGTACTTGGTACTCTATGTGGAGAGTTCCTTTTTGCTAAACAAGCATATGAGACACCAACAAACAACAGGAAATTATTCCTGAGTTTATCTAGGAGAAAACCAAACATAATCTGAACAAAGGGAATATAGAAAATTCAGAGAAGTTAGTTTATACTTCAGCAAATGGCTTACATATCTGTATGACAGGAACATGCCTCTTTATCGATAAGATAAAATGACATATCATCTTAAAGAAACAAATGTAAAAGTCATTCCAAATTTTGTTATTTGTCATTCACCTAGTAGGAATAGATGGAATTGCTATTAAATTAGAGAAAGCACAGATTGGCCCTAATATTAAATGGTCTTAAAGTAAAAAGCTAAATGCATATTAAAATGAAAGATGGCAGAAGTGGAATTTACTTCTATAATGTAAAGAAAATGGAACAAACAAAAACAAAAGTTTCCACAAGTGGAAAAAAGGTAAAAGTAAAGTAAAAAGTGTAAGGATTTCTAAAGCAACATCAGTATAATCTAGACAGGTGGGATCCAGTCATGAGAATAAGAAACAAAAACACACCAACTAATTGGCGGGTAAGTAAATTTGCTTTTGTTCGTGATTTTTAGAAGAAATAATAAGAATGAATTAACAAAAGGATCTTGGGGGTTTTTTTGTTGTTTTTTGATACAGAGTCTCCCTCCTTCACCCAGCCTGGAGTTCAGTGATGCAGTCTCACTCCACTGCACCTTCCACCTCCTGGGTTCAAGAGATTCTTGTGCCTCAGCCTCCTGAGTAGCTGGAATAACAGACCTGTGACACTGTGCCTGGCTAAACTTTGTATTTTTAGTAGAGACAGGGTTTTGCCATATTGGCCAGGCTGGTCGCAAACTCCTGGCCTCAAGTGATCTGCCCACCTAGGCCTCCCAAAGTGCTGGGATTACAGGTGTGAGCCACCTTGCCTGGCCAGATCTTGGGTTTTTAAAGATCATGTAATCCAATTGTGTGCAAGAATAGCTATTGAAATCCTTGGGTTACATCTTTTTAGTGTTTGTGCGTATGTGTTCATACTATAACATTTTCTGTGAGCTTTGAGAACTCGGATGTGCTTTATATAGTTTGGCTGTGTCCCCACCCAAATCTCATCTGGATTTGTAGCTCCCATAATCCCCGCATGTCATGGGAGGGACCTGGTGGGTGGTATCTGAATCATAGGGGCAGCCTTTTTCCATGCTGTTGTTGTGTTCTCATGAAAATGATTAAGTCTCACGAGATCTGATGGTTTCATAAAGGGGAGTTCCCCTGCACACACTCTCTGGCCTGCCTCCATGTAAGATGTGCCTTTGCTCCTCCTTCGCCTTCCGCCATGATTGTGAGGCTTCTCCAGCCATGTGGAACTATGAGTCCATTAAACCTCTTTTTCTTTTTAAATTACCAGTCTCGGGTATTTCTTCATAGCAGTATAAAAATGGAGTAATACAGTACTTCTTAGAGGTCTACTGGCTCATCTCTTCTGAGAAGAATTTGATGAAGAATAGAGCCACTGAGCACAGACACAGAGCACCAAAGTTGTAAAGGTTCAAATGCAGTAGCTCAGTGGCAGTGGCAGGAGAATAACAAATTCCAGGGGAGTCCTGTGTGACATTTTTAGATTGCACAGATTTGTATTCAGAATGTTATATCTTGGTTATCATCCAGGTAAAGCCATTGTTTATAATAAAACAGGAAGACAAGGAACATCTGAGCCCTGAACTATGAACCTTACTCCTTATCAGTGGGGCAGGAGTCTAAGAAATCTGCTTCTGCAGCAATTGTAGATGGGATGGGCCATGCAGGTCTTCTGGCTTTGAAGGGACTGGGTTGCTACATAAGCTGCAAGAATATGATCACGGGTGTAAGGATCAAGGATAATGTCCTGCTGTTAAAACTGGATTAGACGGGGGAGATCTGGCTACCAACTGAAGGTCCAATATGTCATTTTGGGCCATAGTTTCTAGGTCAGGAAAAGTTCTAACATGCTGCTGCTGAATTCCCTTTGGTTAGCTACCTCTTCCACGTGACTAGAATTAGTTCTGAGAAGGAAGTACTGAGACGTACTAGGAAAGAAAATAATATAAATGAGCAGACCTGGCTGGGTAATTTTCTGTCCTGTGGGGTGTGGCAAACAAACTGCTAACAAGAGGTGAGAATACAGGGAATACATTACAGCATCACAGGACTTACTCCTCTCCTTTCCTTTTGTAGGTAGCCTTTACATTAAAAATGAAAGTGTGTTTAGAAGAACTCTGTATTAGGGTTCCCTAGAGGGACAGAACTAATAGGAGATATATATATTTATATAAATATACAGAAAATATATATTAAATATACATTTATTTATATATATAAATATGTATTAAATATACATTTATTTATATATAAATGTGTATTAAATATACATTTATTTATATATAAATGTGTATTAAATATGCATTTATTTATATATAAATGTGTATTAAATATGCATTTATTTATATATAAATGTATATTAAATATGCATTTATTTATATATAAATGTATATTAAATATGCATTTATTTAAATATATAAATATATATTAAATGTGCATTTATTTACCTATAAATATATATTAAATATGCATTTATTTATAACTATATATTAATATACATTTATTTATATGTAAATATATATTAAGTATACATTTATTTATATGTAAATATATATTAAGTATACATTTATTTATTTATATGTAAATATGTATTAAGTATACATTTATTTATATGTAAATATGTATTAAGTATACATTTATTTATATGTAAATATGTATTAAGTATACATTTATTTATATGTAAATATGTATTAAGCATACATTTATTTATATGTAAATATATATTAAGTATATTATGTATAAATATATATTTTTAAAAAACACATACATTTTAGCATATGGAACCAGAAGATTAAAAGTAATCCACATAAGAAATGCCATTTTTACCAGGTTTCACTATAGGTAAACATTTTCAGAGCCTATAATAATTGCCAGGTACCCCAAATTGCAAAACCACTAGAAAAATATCAGTTCATATTCTAGAATTCGCAATAGACTTAAAGGTCGGTAGGCCATTTTATCATCATAAAATTGAAGGAATTGTAAAATTAAACCAAACCAAAGCTACTGGGAAGTAACAGAATATTTTCAATGATAAAATGACGCAGTTTTATTGGACTGAAAAATAAAGAAAAATAGTAAGTATGTATGGGCTTTCCATTGGATATTTTCTCTTTGAAGAGTTAATAGAAAACTGGGCTAGAAAGGATTCATGACTTTCACCAGTATCCTTGGCCTTTCTTGATCCTCTACATTAGGACCATCAGGAAGTTATAGCAGAGTATTATAGGAGAATATTGAGCTATAACATTTAGTCACTGACAACCTGTGCCATAAAGTTTCCACCAGAGAAATGTGCTTAATGTGGCACGCAGGTGTCCTTGTTTGATGCTTAGTTCTTCTTCTAAAAGATGTCATCTTTCATCTTTTACTACTTTAGAGCAAACTTTCAGATACATTTGCATGCAATATATATAAACCAAAGGATCATATTTATATTAAATTATAGAAGTTTGAAATTTAATAAATTCAGCTCATTTTTTTTTTTTTCATTCTAGAGACCTGGTAGGCAGTAGCACTGGTCTCTTTCTTCTCTGGGGTACCTTTTGGATGCTTTTGAATAATATAATGTCCATTAGATCACTTACAATATGAATTACAAAACTTGGACTTGTTATACCTTTTGGGGGGAAGTTAAAACAATAAAGATGTTTCATTAAATCTTGTTAAACAATGATCTCACAGCCAACTCAATAGTTCTGGAGTGAAGAGAAAGGCATAGAAACCAAATTTTCTCCTTTTCCTCACTGCTCTTTAGGGTCACCCACCATGTCTGGGGTGTTCATGCAGTGATATGACTGATGGGCTCTCCTGAGATGGTATGTGCTGGAGTTAAGAAAGGTAATACTTATCTGATGATTAGACTCCTGTGAGCAAGCATTTCTCATTTATTGTGTAATTTTTAGAGATGAGATTCACAGCAAGGGGAGGAATAGACTAAGTCCCTAAATGTGATTTCAAGAGTCTGAGTGTGAACAAATGACAGAGCTGTGTAAAGCTACTGAGTTTTGCAAAGTCCTTTTCACAGGAAATTTTTGCAAGACATCTTTTTTTCCTCCTGCCACCACCCCCCTTTCCCATTAATGTGTGAATTTGTCAAAGTGAAATCTTACCCTTCTCTTTATGGAATATAGATAGATAGATAGATAGATAGATAGATAGATAGATAGATAGATAGATACTCTTCCTATGGTGAAATCTCTTTCTGTAGAGAAAATCCTTACTGATTGCTTTCTTTGCTCTCCAGGGATAAACATTCTCTCACGTAATTTAAGGTATTATTTTAAAATAGAGTGTTAAAATACCTCTCCCTCATTTTCATTTATCTTATTCAAGATATCAACCACTTCCTGACCCACTCCTGCCTTGCTTCTAAAAGGATCTGTCAGTGTTTGTGGAAATCTGCATTGTTACCTCATATAATGTTACATGTGCATGTGTGTCATCTCAAAAACACTTTTTTGGTAGTATTCATGTTATTTCCTATGTAGTCTCCTAGTGGCTTAAGCATACATTGCTGTTTCTATTTTATTAGTACTCCTATTCTTGAGTCCTTCTCATTGGAATATTCTATACTATAATTTACAGGATGATTCTCAGTTTCTTTTTTTTTCTTCTCTACTCTTTTTAGCCACTTAGTCCTTCTTCAGATAAAGGGACCAACAGTTGCTCACACTCGACTATTCATTTCTCTATTACTTTTTCCACTGTCTACCCTTTTTCTGTTTATTTTTTAAATTTCCTCCATGAACAATAAATCTTACACAAGTATTATCCTGTGTAAACTGTTTCCTATAAGAAATACTTTCTGCTAACTTTCTATAAATTCTAGAAGCTTATTTGGTCTGAGAACTCTCGTACTCTGATGACTTATTGACTCTGTTCCAAAACTAAATTTAAGTCCACGGCTGAACTAAGACTATTGCATTTAGCCTTAACAAGGTTGTAAGAAAGCAATTGCTCCTACTGTGCTGGAGTCAGAAGCCAGCCATACTGCATTGGACAAAGGGGTGAGTGAAGCTGAGCAAGTGGAAGCAGTTAAAAATAGTTTGGAAAGAGATATGGAGTAGGAGTGTGTGTGTGTTAAGAAAAAAATCTTTAAATCTTGTTGGAGAAAAATCAGTATAGAAGAAAAGATTAAAAATATAAAAGAGAGTTGGAGTTTTCCATTTCTGGCTCAGATGCAGAAAAATGAAAAAAAAATATTGCTCCCATTCTAACAAAAATAAAAAGTAGGATAAACTATAAAATCACAACTTTCAGACAGCTGAGGTCACAGGACAACTAAGTAGCTTGAAGCCCAAGGAAGAGGAGCTCCTCATTCCCCATGGATAAATAACATGTGCAGAATGTCTTAGCTGTAGAAAAACATGGGAAGACCATGTCATAGGCATGAGGGCCAGAACATAACATATGAATTCATAGCAAAATGATGAGTATCTGTTGACATGGGAAAATAGAACCCCCGGAAGTCTCAGGCACAAGGGGAACATGTACCCGCCTGCAGGCATATTTCCATGAACCCCCACCGGGTGCTCATGAGAAAGATTGGCAGAACAAAGATTGGAGAGAGGCTTTCTTGTTGGTATAAATATGGAAAAGGAGAAAGGCATAAACATCTACCCTCCTGCAGGGATTATTCTCTCAAAAAACTTAAGGCTCTGAGAGAAGAGCAGCAAACATAGCCTTGAGGTCCTAGCCATTTCTGAAGGAGCAACAGAATCTTCTGAAACTGGGAAAGATTCAAAGAGGCAGAAAAAAAGTGTGGGTACTAGGATCTTCTATGAACACTCTTAGAGGTCTCCTATCTCTGGATGAGAAGCAGGAAGAAACTTGGCACACAGAGAAAGAGGAGAAATGATGAGAAAAATTCACAGCATGGCACACACAGCTGGCCTGAGACTAAGTCTGGACCAGGGATGTGGAGAGCCCACCTTGTGCCATGCAACATCAACCTTGGAACACTGAATAATAAGCAACTGTGCTGTACTGTGGGGAGAAGAGCAAGAGCTTGCTCCCTTCTGTGGCACTGATGTAAGGGGTGGCTCAAACCTTAGAGCAGAGCACACTGGACACACCCTCAGCACTGCAGTCCCTCACCCAGTCTCAATCATTCTTGGAGTAATTTGAAACCAGCAGTGCAAAGAATGTGGCCATAGATCAATTCTAGATGAGGTGGATTTGATCCCCAACACTAACTGCCAATTGCAGGTGGAAGTACTTTTTACCTCAGTTTCCTTTGCTGTACATAAGATATTTGGCTTGAGTAAAGCATTATGAGACACTCAGCAGCACAGATACAAAATTTAGAAAAAAAGAAATTCATCATGACACATGGCAATATAGAGAATAGATTCACAGATCACCAAATGTTGAAACTATTAAATAGGAAATGTAAACAGATTAAAATGTTGAAGGCTCCATTTTAAAAGATGGAAAATGTGTACAAAAAGGGGAGGGATATCAGTAGAGAGATGGAAACTAAGAAAGGTTCCAATGAAGAAACAGTTTTCAGCAACCTAAATGAAATGAACAAATCCCTTGAAAGACACAAAATATCACATGAAAAGAAGTAGAACCTGGATAGTCCTATGTCTTTTAATGAAACTGAATTCCTTGTAAAAACCCTCTGACATATTCAGGTCCAGATGGCTTCTCTGACAAATTCTACCAAATATATAAATAAGAATTAATCCCGATTCTATACAAATTCCAACTACATAGAAGAAAGGAAGGAACCCTTTCTAACTCATTTTACAATGTTAAAGACAGTGGTTTCATTTTAGACAAATATTCATGAGTCTTAATTTGAAGAATTAAAAATGTCTTCAACATAGCAAAACAAGCCGGAAAAAAAATAGTCGTTTTGACAGGTATTATCATGGACATATTGTTATAAATTTCAGGGGTTAGTTTTATCAAACTCTATACAGTCAGTCAATGTCACGTGCTAAGAATAAGGTGAACACAGTAGTTTGAAAGAATACGGTCTTTCTAACCCAGTGGAGACAACGAGTTCCATAAACATGCCAGGATTCGTGGATAATGTTGAAGTGAAATTGGGTGGCTGTAAACCAATAATGCCGCTTCTCCTTTGCATTTTCACTGGTTCTCAGGTATTTTGTTTCTGCACTCAACCTCACATGCTTGTGGGCCAATTTGGACACAAATCTCCAGAGCAAGCCCAGGCACTCTCTCATTAATGACTTTAATCCGAACCCCAAAATATTTCATCAAAGCAAGTTCATGAACTTAAGGGGTTAGCTTTTTAGCAGCTGTTGAACCCTGGACAACATTCTTTCTTTTTTGAGCTTCCATTTCCTCATCCCTAACAGGGGAACAGTTTCTTCGTAAATGTTATGAGAAGGCCAGGGCACAATGGATCACACCTGTAATCTCAGTGCTTTGGGAGGTCGAGGTAGGGAGATTTCCAGACCATCCTGAGCAATGCGGAGAAACCCCGTCTCGAGAAAAAAATACAAAAAATTAGCCAGGCATGGTGGCATACACTTATAGTCCCAGCTACTTGGGATACTGAGGATGAAGGATCACTTGAGCCTGGGAGGTCTAAGCTGCAGTAAGCTGTGATCATATCACTACACCCAGCCTTGGGAGGCCGAGATGGGTGGATCACCTGAGGTCTGGAGTTTGAGACCAGCCTGACCAACATGGAGAAACCCCGTCTCTATCAAAAATACAAAATTAGGCAGGCGTGGTGGCGCATGCCTGTAATCACAGCCACTTGGGAGGCTGAGGCAGGAGAATCACTTGAACCAGGGAGGCGGAAGTTGTGGTGAGCCGAGATCGCGCCATCGCACTCCAGCCTGGGCAACAAGAGCTAAACTCCATCTCAAAAAATAAAATAAAATAAAATTAAATTAAATTAAATTAAATTAAAAAGTTATGAGAAGATGTCACACACACACACACACACACACACACACATATTTAGTCATGTGTCATTTAATGATGGGGTTTTGTTCTGAGAAATGCCTTGTGAGGCAATTTTGTCATTGGGCAAACACCATATAGTATACTCACACTAACCTAGATGGTAGAGCCTAATACACTCCTAGACTATATGGTAGAGCCTTGTGTACCTAGACTAGAAATGTGTACAGCATGTGACTCTGCTGAATGCTGTAGGCAACTGTAACATAATGGTATTTGTGTATCTAAACATAAAAAGGAACAGTAAAAACATGATATAAAAGATAAAAATTGTATACCTGTATAGGGCATTTACCGTGAATGGAGCATGTCAGATTAGAAGCTGCCCTGGAGGAGTCATATATGTGGTTCATTGTTGACCAGAGTGCCATTATGCCATGCATGACTACATATATACATGAATATATATATCTACACACACGTATACACAGGTGTGTGTGTGTGTGTGTGTGTGTGTGTAATCTCCCTCTCAACACTTCATTTAGCTCCATGCCTCTGTACAACTTGGGCTACACAGTACACAGAGACAAATGAGGCTTTGACAATCATGCATTTACAGAATCAATTTTCTCGTGTTTAAAAATATGAACAGACCGTATTTTTAAGATAGGTTTTAGATTACCAGAAAACTGAACAGAAAGTAAGTAGAGTTTCCCATATACCCTCTCATCCTGTTCCTACACACCTAGTATCTCCTATTTATTAATATCTTGCATTGGTGTGGTACGTTTGTTACAATTGATAAGCCAATACTGACACATTATTTTTAACTAAAGTTCATAGCTCTAATTAGCATTACCTCTTCATGTTGTACCATTCTATGGGCTTTGGCAAGTGCCCAATGTCATGTATTCGCCGTTATAATACCATACACAATACTTTCTAACCTTAAGAATCTTCCAGGTTCCACTTATTCATCCTCCCTGGCCCCTGCTGGAAGCCCTGACAGCCTCCAATCTTTTTACTGTCTATTCGAGTATAATTTTGCCTTTTCTGGAATGTCTTATGGTCGGAATCATGTAGTATGTAGTCTTTCCACATTGGCTTCTTTCATTTAGTGATATGCATTTCAGGTTCCTTTATGTCTTTCGTTGTGACTCGGTAGCTCATTTCCTTTTGTCACTGAAAGATATTTCATTCTACATATGCACTACAATTGGTTTATTCATTCACCTATTGAAAAATATCTTGGTTGCTTCCAAATTTGTAATAATGAAGAAACTCATAAGGTTTTTTTTCGATATAAGTTTTCAATTCATTTGGGTAATCACAAGGGAGTATGACTATAGCCTTGTATGGTAACATGACACTGAGCTTTGTATGAAGCTGCCCTACTGGCTTCCAAAGTGGCTGTTCCCTTTTGCATTCCCACCAGCAATAAATGGCAGTTCCCGTTGCTCTATATGGGTGCCAGCATTTTGTGTTTTAAGTATTTTGGATTTTAGCCTTTCCTGTGGGTGTGTAGTGGTATCTCATTGTTTTAATGTGCAATTCCATAATCACATACGATCTTGAACATCTTTTCATAGCATATTTGCTGTCTGTATATCTTTAAAAATTTCTTTTATCAGAATTTTATAGTTTTTTTCACATCAACTTGTATGTATTTTGTTATAGATACATACCTAAGTATTTTGATATTTTTCCAGAGATAATGTAAGTGGATTGTATTTTTAAAATTCCAACTATTCATCTCTAGTACATAGAAAATCAGTTGACTTTTGTGTGTTAACCTTGTATCCTGCAACCTCGCTATATTTGCTTATTAGTTACAGGAGTTTTATTTGTTGAGTCTTTGAGACATTCTACATAGAAAATCATGTCATGTCACTGGAGAATAAAGTTTTATTCTTTCTTTCCCAATCTGCATACATTTTATTTCCCTTTCTTGTCCTATTGCATTAGCTAGGATGCCTAGTAAGAAGTTATATTACCGTGGTGACAGGAGACATCATTTCCTTGCTCCTGATCTTAAGGGGAAATCTACTTTCTCACGATTCAGTATGCTGTTTGCTGTAGGTTTATGTAGATGTTCTTTATCAGGTTGAGCAAGTTCCTCTGTATTCCAAGTTTGCTGAAAGGTTTTATTATAAATTGGCATTGCATTTTGTCAATTTTTTTTGTATCTATCAATATGATCACTTCATTTTTCTTCTTTTGTTTTAGCCTGTTGATGTGATGGGTTACTTAATTGTGTTTTGAATGTTGAACCAGCCTTGCATACATTGGATAAATCACACTTGGTTGTGGTAATTAATTCCTTTTATAAATTGTTAGATAAAATCACTAATATTTTGTTGAAGATTTTTGCAGGTATATCTGTCAGAGATACTGGTCTTTCACTTCTTTTCCTTGTAATTTTTTTTTCTGATTTTGCTATTAAGGTAGTGCTATCACCATCAAATAAGTTAGAAAGTTTTCTTTGGTTTCTCTTTTTTGGAGATTACTGAGCATTGGTATTCTTTCTTTCTTATATATTCGGGAAAATTCAGTAGGGAAGCCATCTGGCCCTGATGTTTTCTTTGTTGGAAGACTATTTAATTATTCATCAGTTTCTTTGATAGATAAAGGCCGATTCAACTTATCTACTTCTACTTGTGTGAGTTTTAGTAGGTATTTCCTTTCAGGAAATTGGTCAGTTTCTTCTAAGGTATGAAATTTATGAGTACAAAGTTATTCATAATATTCCCTTACTATCATTTTAATATCTATGGAATCAATATTTACCATCTCTTTTTGATTGTGATGTTAGCAAGTTGTATTTTCTCTTTTGTTCTTGTTAGGCTGACTAGAAGTTTATTAATTTTTTGGTCTTTTCAAATAATTAGCTTTTGGTTTCGTCAATTTCTCTATTAATTTTCTGTTTTCGCTGCTATTGATTTCTGCTCTAATTTTTATTCATTTTGTTCTGCTTACTTTTGATTAAATTTGTTTTCTTCTTCTTCTAGTTGCCTAAATTAGAAGCTTATTTTATTGATTTTAGGTCTCTTTTATTTTCTAAAATATTCATTCAATGCTACAAATTTCCCTCTAATCACTGTTTTTGCTGCATCATACAAATTTTAATGACTTGCATTTTTGTATTTATTTAATCAAAATACGTTTAATTTTGATTGAATTTTTTGATTCATGTCTTATTAGAAGTATGTTGTTTAATCTCCATATATTTTAAAATTTACCAACTATCTCTCTGTTACTGGTTAATACTTTAATTCAGTGTGGTCCGTGAGAATACTTGGTATGATTTCAATTATTTTGAAATTTGTTAAGATATGCTTTATGGTTTAGAATGTGGACTAACTTGGTGAATGATCCATGTGATATTGAGAAGAAAATGGTTTGTGCTGCTGTTGAAAGAAATGTTCCATAAATGTCAATTAGATCCAAATGATTGATGGTACTATTCAGTTCAACCATATCCTTACTGGCTTTCTGCCTGCTGGGTATGTTATTTATTCATAGAGAGTTGTTGAGGTTTCCAACTGTAACTGTGGAATTGTCTACTCCATCTTGTAATTGCATCAGTTTTTGCCTTACATCTTCTGGCACTCTTGTTAGGCATACACAAATTAATTCTTGCTATGTATTCTTGGGAAACCAACCTTTGTCATTATGTAATGCAACTTTTTGTTCCTGATAATTTTTCTTGCTCTGAATTTGTTTAGTTTAAAATTAATACAGCTACTTTAGCTTTGTTTTGAGAAGTGTTAGCCTGGTATATCTTTCTATATCTTAATTTCCCTGTATCTTCATATTTGAAGTAGGTTTTTTGTAGACAACATAGAATTGAATCTTTTTTCTTTTTTGTTAATCCACTCAGTCTTTGACTCTTAATTTGATGCATCTAATCCGCTTGCACTTAAAGTTATTATTGATATAGTTAGATCAATATTTACCATATGTGTTACCGTTTTCTACTCACTGCCCTTGTTCTGTGTTCCCTTTTTTGTCTTCCAGTCTTTTTTTTGCCTTCTGTGGCTGTAAATAAGAATTTCCTATTATTCAATTTTTTCTCTTCTCTTAGCATATCAGTTATATTTCTTTTAAAAAACTTTTTAGAGGTTGTCCTAAAGTCTTCAATGTACATTTACAACTACTCTAAATCCACTTTCAAATAGCACTACACTGTTTTGTGAGTAGTGCAAGTGCCTCCTAACAGAGTATTCCCAATTATTTCCTCCTACTCCTCACTGTATTATGGTCCTTCATTTCACTGATCCACAAACTATAATGACCCAATACATTGTTATTACTTTGAAAAAAATTGTATCTGTTAGATCAATTAAGAATAGAAAAGTAGAGATTTTATTTTACCTTTATTCCTTCTCTAATGCTCTTTCTTTGTATAGATCCAAATTTTTGACCTATATAATTTCCCTTCTTTCTGAAGAACGCCTAATATTTCTTGCAAGGCAGGTGTACTCAATTCTTGTTTGAGAAAACATTTTTCTCTCCTTTGCTTGAGAAGGATAATTTTGCTGTATATAGAATGTTAGGTGGGTGATTTTTTCCTTGGAGTGTTTTAAGTATTTCATGACATTTTCTTCTTGGAAGGTTCTGTAGGGTTTCTTAAGAGAAGTCTATTGCAATTCTTATCCTTTGTGTTTTTATTCCCTCCGACGTCTTTCAAGATTGTTCTGCCTTTGATTTTCTGCAGTTTGCAGTTTAATATGTATATGGAATCAGTAGTTATGGTCTCTTTTTCATTCTGATATTAGCAATTTTAATTTCTGTATTTAAAAATCTAGGTGTAGATTTTTTGGTATTTATCCTGCTTAGTGTCTGAGTTTCCTGGATCTGTGGTTTGGTGTCTCATTAATTTAAGCAAATTATCAGCCATTATTATTTTAAATATTTTGTTTCTCCTTCTGATATTCCCATTAGAGGCAGACTACATCTTTTATGATGCCCCTCAGTTCTTGGATATTGTGTTCCATACTTTTTATTCTTTTACAGCTTTGCATTTCAGTTTGGGAAGTTTCTGTTGACATAACTATAAGCTCATTAAGTCTTTCCTTGGTCCTGCCGAATCTACTGATGAGCCCATTAAAGGCATGTTTTATTTTTGTTATAGTGTTTTTGATGTCTAGCATTTCCTTTTGATTCTTAGAGTTTCTGTCTCCTGGCTTAATTGCCCATCTGTTCCTGAATGTTTTTCCATTAGACTCCTTAGCATATTAATTATAGCTATTTTAAATGACCATTCCGATAATTCTGAAACCACTACCATATCTGAGTCTGGTTCTGATATTACTTTGATTTTTCAAACTATGTTTTTGCCTCTTCACATGTTTTTAAATTTCTTGTTGAAAGCCAGACATGATGTATCAGGTAAAAGAATAGGAGAAAAATAGGCCTTTCATTGGAGGTTTTATGTTTGTCTGGCTAGGGTTGATATGCTGCTTATTGTTTGCTGTAGTTGTATGTCAGAGGATAAAATTTCTTCTAATATCCTTGGTTTTGTCTCCTCTGTTATCTCTGGGTTTTCTTAGAGGCTCCTTCTTAAGTAGTGTCTGAGGCGTGCAGTTCTGTAAAGCCTTGTTATTATTCAGGAGCCCCGCTGATGTGGTGGGAAGGTGTGGGCAGTGGGAAGTGCTGTGTAATCCTATGATTAGAGCTCTGTCATTCAGGGTGGCTGTGCCCTTCTGGCTGTGACCTTCACAAGTGCTTCTCAGGTATTTCTTCTCTTAGGTGAAGCAGGAAGTCTAGTGTGAGCAGAAGTCGGGTACCTCAGTTTCCCCCTTATCTACAGTTTCTCTTTCTGCAGTTTCAGTTGCCCATGGTCAACTGAGGTCAGAAAACAGCTGTGTAGAGTACAATAAGATATTTTGAGACACAGAGAGAAAGACCATATTTCCATAACTTATACTAGAGTATACTGTTATAATTATATTTTGTTATTATTATTAATCTTCTACTGTCCTTGATTTATAAATTACACTTTATCATAGGTATGTATGATAGGAAAACACATAGTATATATAGGGTTTGATACTATCCCTGGTTTTAGGCATGTAGTAGGGGTCTTGGAAGCTATTCCCAGTGAATAAGGGGAACTATAGTATTTTTCTTCCCTCAGAGAAGCCAGGTTCTGGTAAAACCCAAATGAGCTAGGCTCTGGCATAATTGCTTCTTTTGAGGGCAGTCCTTTCTTAAGGAGAACAAAATGTTCCAGGCATATTTCAAAATAGTTTTTTCTCCTCTGACTGCCTGAAATAAAAGAGGATTTTTATTTGGTCTTCACCCTGAGAATCTGGTGGGGCTCTTGGTGGTAAAACTCAGGAAAGCATAAAGACACTCCTAAGATTGTCCTCTTCTTTGGAGGTTTTAACTCAAACCCATCGAGTCTCAGCCTCTGGTAATTTGTCAGTTACAGTCACAGTACTCCTGTCAGTTCAGCCGCTGGCTTCTGCTCCTTTTAAGCTGTGGCTCTTGAATTTCCCTGTCTTGCCACTTTTAGTGGCCGTAGTTTGCCATGGGATCTTAATTTCCTGATGGATCTAAGAAGAGTTGTTGATTTTCAGGATTTGATTGGTCTTTTTGGTGCTGTGAGAATGTGAGTGATGATTCAAAGCTCTTTACATGCTGCACCAGAAACTGGTGGTTGAGAACTGAAATTTTAGAGCTAAAGGGGAACAATAGATTATAACAATCTCATTTTAAGAATGAGAAAACTTGAATGCTGATTAGATAAATAACATTCCAAATCCTAACTTTAGTAAATTCCTATGATAATTTAATGTGATCAGTCCTCTCTCATTTCTAAATGGCTGCTGTACCAGCTCCTCCTTTATCTTCCCCACCAATCTTTAGGAATAAATTTTATTCAAAATGGCACAATGAGATATCAGTGTATTATAGATGCATGTAAAGTTGAGAGATTAATGAGAGATGCTCCATTTGAGGGTGGAAAAAAATGTTAAAATTTCAATTCTGATTTATTTCAATTTCATTTTCTTTATATTCTGAGTGTTCACTTTATTATATATGACTTGAAAATAAATAAACATGTACACGGGGGGCATACTTAGAAATATTTACTGGTGAGAAATGCAAAGCGAAGAATTTGGAAACCACTGTAAATGATTCTTAAGTTACTGCTAAGAGCAAAGAGCATCTGAATGTGTAATTATCAACACATCCCCAGGGATTCATGTGATTGCTTGCTCTCTCATTTAAATACATACATCTACAGACACAGTACTTGTGCAGATGTGAATTGAGTGCATCCTGTCCATTATCTCACATACTACCTCAAGGACTTTTTTTCGTGGTTATTCTCACTATATTGATACCTCTTATTTGCAAGTTCTTCTGTGTCTCAATATCTTAGAAAGGTGTCAATTCCTAAGAGTTTCACTGGCGTGATAACGAGATTGTATGCGAGATAGGGGAAGGGGGTAAGTAACAGCTCAAAAACTGTTTGGATTTATTTGAGTATAAATGCATTGTTTCATTTTTACTGAACTTTTTTCTTCA
Organism: Homo sapiens; assembly: GCF_000001405.40. NCBI lineage: Eukaryota > Metazoa > Chordata > Mammalia > Primates > Hominidae > Homo > Homo sapiens. Next base: position 9,668,178 of record NC_000010.11, read on the forward strand.
TTTTCCTGCTAATATCCCAAAGGTGTCCTTGGTCCTATTTGTGATAATTTATTTAAAGTCTTCAGATTGCACAAATTGAAATGAAGTTAAAGATTAATAGAAAAACAAGGCATTGGTGTTTCTGACATAATGATAATAAATATTTTTGGCAGATTTTCTACTATGGATTCTCTTGTGTATTTGACCATGGGACGTTAAATGAATATTGCTAAAATGGCTGTACCTGCATAAGAATATATTTTAGAATGAATAAGGATCTTATAATTTATGTTACTCAATCTCTTCATTTTTAGGTAATAAACTTAGGTCCATAAAGGTTAAGTGATTGGCAAGGTTTAATTCCTAGGTAGTGGCAGAACCAGAAGATAACCTAGGTGTGATGATTAATTTTATGAGTCAACATGACTGGGCCATGAGTTGCCCAGATATTTCGGCACAGATTATTCTGGGTGCTTTTATGAGGGTGTCCGGATGACAGTAATGTTTAAATTGGCAGGCTGAGTAAAGCAGATTGCTCCCTCTAATGTAGGTGAGTCTCACCCATTAAGCAGAACATCTGAGTAAAACATAAAGGCTGACATCCCCAAAGAGGGGATTCTTCTTTTCTGATGGCCTTTAGAATGAGACGTTGGATCTTCCTGGGTCTCAAGCCTGCAGGCTTTGGATTGGAACTATACCACTGGTTCCTCTAGGTCTCCAGGTTGCTGACTTACCCTGAAGATCTTAGGTCTTATCAACTTCCATAATCACACAAGCCAATCTCTTAGAATAAATCTCCTTATATTATCCTATTGCTGCTGTTTCTCTGGCTATCCTTGACTAATATACTAGGTATTACACTACAGAAGGGACTATTTATCCTTTTCCACCCTGTGTTACTCTTTAAAATTTAGTATTGGCTATGTGAGAAGAGTCACACTGTGTATATACTCAAGAAACCACAAGTCCTGTAGGCCATGTGCCCTAGGGGTCCTATAGCAGGAATGGGAAGAGGTGAGGTAGTATGCTACAGGGAATAAGATTCATTTTACCTTTATGATTGGCCTGAAAGAAAATGCAGGGTCTTTCTTTAGCAAACTAAGCTCTCAACTGCATCCTAAATCTTCAGACTGCCTGTCAGGACTCTAGTCATTGTGTTAGTTCATATTCTCTGATTCATTCTGGGGATAGGAGAATGTGATGAGGACTTTATTCTCAATAAAATAGATCTTGGTTTGCCTTTGTAAACATTAATCACAATATTTGGATTCTATATTTCTGGGCATGTTTCATACTGTGCATAATATATACACACATATATAATATACCTTATAAAACACACACATAGCTATATATTTATACTTATATATAAAATATATAAAATACACATGTGTAATAAAGATTTCGGAAGGCTATATTTTACTGATTCCCTACACATATTTGAAGATAATATTTTCGAGACCTACGTGAGACTACAATAATAGTGTTTAATATAATACAAGTAAAATGATAGTATACATGTAAGAACATAATATCAATATCATCCATTTTATCCTCTTATAAAAATAGTACTTAACACTTATGACCAATTAAAAATTTAATTTTGTATATATTTTGAGGTCTATGTTTTGAAGGATGTATGAACACAAATTCAGATCTTTATATTAATAAGCTATGTTGCATTTAGATCTTTCTGTGTCCTTGATAGTAATTTTCTTTTTTTTTGAGACGGAGTCTTGCTCTGTTGCTCAGGCTGGAGTGCAATGACACACTCTTGGCTCACTACAACCTCCACCTCCCAGGCTCAAGAGATTCTCCTGCCTCAGCCTCCTGGGATTACAGACATGTGTCACCATGCCCAGCTAATTTTTGTATTTTTAGTAGTGATCAGGTTTCACCATGTTGCATGGGCTGGTCTTGAACTCCTGACCTCAGGTGATCCACCCTCCTTGGCCTCCCAGAGTGCTGGGATTACAGGCATGGGCCACCGTGCCTGGCCGACAGTAATTTTAAAATAAAAACTATTATAATACTGACAAGTGCATTCATCGCAATAAAATAAACTTTATTAATTAAAGATAATGATTATAGGCTGGGTACGGTGGCTCATGCCTGTAATTCCAGCATTTTGGGAGGCCAAAGTGAGCAGATCACTTGAGGTCAGGAGTTCAAGACTAGCCTGGACAAAATGGTAAAACTCCATCTCTACTAAAAATACAAAAATTAGATGGGTGTGGTGGTGCACACCTGTAATCCCAGCTACTCAGGAGGTTGAAGCAGGAGAATCCTTGAAACCTGGGAGGCAGAAGTTGCAGTGAGCTGAGATCACGCCACTGCACTCCACCCTGGGTGACAGAGTGAAACATGGTCTCAAAAAATAATAATAATAATAATAAATTAAAAAAACAAATATCATGATTGTAGGATAAACTGTTGTTAAGCACTTTATGATTTATTTCACAAGCAGCTATAAAAGGAACAATGGAGAGGATATCAGATTTCTCTACGCTATTGTATGACATGGGTCAAAGTATACTTTAGTTGCTTTCACATTAGAGATTTGGTAGTCCAAACTTCATTTCAATTACAAAGACATTAAAATGCACTCAAATCTATTTTGATCTTCATTTGTATTCAAATGTCCATTACAAAGACTGAGGTAGAGAACTGTGGTCAAGACATTTCAAACCAGAGTTCTGTAGGAAGAGTAGAGGTGGAGTTAATACATTAAGTCAAGAAATCTGATAGGTTAATGAGAAATAAAGTCTACCCATTTTCTGCATTAACAGAGGTAAACTGGAAAATTTGGCCTTTTCTTCATATTTAATTAGCAATCTCTTATGAATCTAATTCCTATTGCATTCCACAGCTAACCAAGTGGAGTGAATAAGAGTATCTGTGAATAAGCGTCAAATAAGCATCTAGTGGTGGGGGAGGCTGGGCGGGGGAGTAGGGTTTGAGAGCTGAGCTCTGGTGACGCAGCAGTTTACTCCTCAGCAGGGCAGAGTTTTGCTCAGGTTTAAGAGCCAGTTCAAAGTGTTATTAAAAAAAGGAATAAGGTATAGTTACCATAGCAACTGACACACCACATGACATTGATATTTTCCCTCCTGAGAAGAAAGCCCATTGTTAAAGCAACTGTCACACAAACAAAATTCTCCCTGATAAAGTTACTAAAGTTTTAAACTGCTTCCTCAAGGGGAAAAAATTGAATTTTAACAGATACATACATTTAAAATTATCAGGGGACCAACAAAAAAATTCAGAAATATTGTATTATTACATGCAAAATAATCCAAGCTTTTCTAATTGTCATACACATCATTAGGTGACCTCTCATGAAATGCAGTAATTTACTAGATGTTATGTATGCTTATGTCAGAGAAGAGTGGATAGATAACTCTTTCTCAATAAAGTAATCAAACTTCGGCCCATATTCTTCAACAGATGACTGACTGATTTACTTGAAAATCTTCAAATTATGTGACATTTAATTCTGCCTTGAAGACTTATTTATTTTCTTTCTAAATGCTTTTATGTTATGACCTTTGGGCATCTCGTTATTAGTGAAGTGTCTCATTTATCAAAACCTTCCTCAAGAAAATAGTTTTCAATTTGACTTGATAGAAGGATATCAATAATTCAAAATTGAATCAAAATCATTTATAAATCCTTGTGTTGACTTCCATTGCTCCAGGAATATTTTTCAAAATATTACGGCAATAATAGAAAATATCAGAAGAGATTGTTAGAGAAGAGATGAGAAGAAGACCACGGAATGGGAACCTTCAATATTAAGGTGGTCACAGATAAGCAAAGATGCCAGCCAAGAAGAGGCAGTGGGAACAACCAGGGAGATGGGAGAAAGACAAAATGAATAGCAGGCTTTTGGAATCCAAGTGAAGACTGTTCTTCAAAAGGTGAGTGGTTCACTGTGTCCTGTTCTGCTGAAAGGACTGAGCATTGTGCATTGCCATCAGCAAGAGAGAAGTCAACAGCCCCAGTGACTGACGAGGGCAAAATCCTGACTGTAGTTGTTAGTTTAAGAGAGAATGAGAGGGGAAAAAAATTGGAGAGCAATTGTGCAGACATTTTCAAGCTTTTCTGCAAAAGGATAAAAAATGGAACAGAGTTGGTGGATCCAAGAGAGGGCTTTTAAAAACTGAGAGACATAAAAGCATATTTTTATACTATAGGGAATGATTGATGGGATGGGGTGTAGTTACAAACTGAGCGACTAGTTTCAGAGAGATGATGAAAAATTCGTCTACGACGAAATGCCAAAAGGCAGAGAAAACGAATGCTGGAAGTGAGTGTATGTGCCAGTGGAAGTCCATGGGTCTATGGAAGTTTTTCTCCATTTGTTGTATTTTCTCCTTGAAATAAGAAATTAAGTTACTATCTAAAAGTGAGCTGTTGGGAGGATGCAATGGAGGTCTGGAATAGAGCAAGATGTGAAACTATTAAGGAAATTTAAAATTATTTCCAGGTAGCCTTAAGAACTCATGAAGGTATGTGTTGTGAATTTCAAACACACATGGTTTTGTGTGCATGTGTGTGTGTGTGTGCATTTTGCTCTAGTCATTTTCAGCTAAATGGTAGCAGGTGTGGAGTAGGCAAAGTTAGATTTAACAAAGGCTTTGATTTTTCTAGGTTAGTGCAATGAAGTTAGAGAAGGATGCAGAAGTCATTGAAATGAAGGAAGTAATTATAACGGTTAACTATGGAATCTAAGCTGTTTAAAGCGAGAGAAAACTCATCTTTCCCTTCTACAAAGTGAAGGACAGTGAAAGCTGGAAGGATCAATAGAATGAAGGTCCCAGTGAAGAAAACTTTACAATTTTGGGACCAGAGAGAATGAGCTGGAAACACAGAAAATCACAGAGTGAGACACACGGATCTGAGAATATGGAGGGATCGCAGTAAATGGTATGACATAAGATCTAGGTTAAAACCTGATACACTTTACTGAAGCATGGAATATGCTTACACAGAGTGTAACTAAATATTCAAAATGTTGCTAAATGATGCCAATGATTTTGTTTATTGTATTTTCTGATAGTTACTCATCAAACACTGGACATGACATATAGGAGAATTTGAATAGATATTGGTTGAATAAATGGATGAATGGGCAGGTGGATGGATGGATGACTGGATAAAAATGTTGCTGTACACCTAATTAACAGAAAAATGCATCATAAATTAAAATTCTACATCGCTGAATGATGCTAAGAATCCTTGTGTGGTGCATCTGACTTTGAAATATCATTAACATGCACCAATGGTACAAGAACTCATCCCATCCTGGATTTTTTCATCTCAACTTCTCTACTTGTGTGCACTACTGAGACATAAGTATCAGTATCTCCCTTCTCAGAAGCTCAGTTGATGGACTCTTAATTTTGTTTTGCTACAGAAATACTCTAGAGTCAGGACAGATGTAAGGTCAGATGTACTTAGGAGTAAATCTTAAGTCACAGATGAACACTAAGAATAAATAAATAACATTCAAATTTAGTCTATCATTTATGGAATCTAACAGCCAGTATCTCTTTCTGTAGTTGTTACCCAAACTAGAGAAAACAATAAAAAGAAAGTATAAAAGATAATTAATTTATCATCCATATACTAACAGTGTGTCTCAAAAATGAAAAGGATATTTTAGCAATTTGACCATGTAATGTGGTTAATACATATTGGAACAAGCCATAGTCAGTTCAAATGCAAGTGTGATGAGACAGTACAAAATAGGAAGAAAACTTAGTCTGTAGGATAAAAATGTCCTTATCAGGCTGTATGTCAAGTAGTGATGTAGCTTCTCCACCTCAACCCACCTCCAGTCTAATGGTATGTAAGGTAACTAGATCAAGCTTCTAGTTCCTCTAACCCAGTGGCATCCTTGCTCCATGGAGGCTACAATGATTACCAAGTCTATTCAGAACTTTAAGGGCCTAAGGAGGCAAAGGAAGCAAGTCCACTCACTGGCATTCTTATTTGGCCTAAATATTTGTCTTTTTTGGCTTGTTAGTTTATTGACTGAATGCAATCTTATCATCCTCAAATGTCTTCCAAACTTGAGCAATTCTTTGTATTCTCAAGTATATCAGGCATAGTTTAATGTTGCAGGCCTGATATAGAAAAAATATATTGTAAAGAAAATAATGAAATGATAGATTGTGAAATCAAAACAGAATAACTTGAGAAGCTCAAAATGGGCTCCTTTATAAATGGAATTTCTTTCCAAAACTTCTAGTTTCTCTGATACAATATTGTGACTGGTATGCACTGGTATAATGTACTTTGAATATATATTTAAAAATATTTTTGGATCCCTGAAAACTTTGCCATATTGTCTTCTAGCTGAAAAAGCTGCTGTGAAGAGGTCTGAGGTTTGAGGGACATTTGCCCTCTTGTAAATAGCTTAATGCCTGATTTTTTTTTCTGTAATATGCCATTTTAAGCAGCAAATGTAGAATCTTTACTTCAGAAAAATTATGTTCTCATATTCTACTTTGAACAGCATTTATTGTCATTTATTGGCTTCTCTACCTGAAAGACACCAATAATCCCTAATTATTTTCAATACCGAATAGCTTTAGATTTCATTAATATATTTATCCTTTCCCTTTACATTTTCTCAGCATTTTTTCCTATCATTTTAAGCAAAAACTATTAATGAGAACAATTTAACATTGTTCTCCAGAGAAATTATTTTGGTTCTTTATCTACATCATTAGATCAGTAATTTCTCTTTTTATATCATATATCCATTTTATTTTTTGAAATTTTGTTATTGAATTAATTTTTAGTAAGATGCTAAAGTAGGGAATAAAACAAATACAGAAAATTTCTTCCTGTTCATTGAGTTATGTTTTCCCTTAGGTAGGGCCCTTTGTCTATTATATATCTCCTCCTTCCCTCCCTCCCCTTTTCTTTCTTTCTCTTCTTCCTTCCTTTTCTCCTTCTCTCTCTGTTTTTATTTCTTACTGAATTCTTCCCTGTACTTTATTTATACAAAAACATAATTTATTTTCATCTTGCTCATGCTTGGGGATTTCTTTCCAAAACTTCTATTTGCTCTGATACAATACTGTGACATTTTAAATGTTAATATTTACAACTCTATCTGAGACTTGCTTGTTTTCCTCTCTGAGCGACAGCTTAACGGTAATTATTTGTGTTTTATCTACACAGCTCTTAGGAGAAGGCCCATATAATTGCTAAAGTGGTATAATTTTTGTTGCTGTTGTTGGAATATTTGCTTCTGTTCTTACTTGGTAAATAGTCAAATTTTCTTTACCAAGATTCACTTTACATAATTGGAGGGCATATATGATTTCATGGAGGGATATCTTCCAAGTTTCTGTTTCATTCGAAATGTGTTGGGCAGCCCTGAAATCCGTTGTGTGACAGAATTCCTGCTTTATTTTTCTTTTCTTCATTTATCCCAACCTTATTCCCAATACTCATTCCCTTACTACTCAGTTGAAAAAAGAAAAAGAAAGGATGCCGAGACAGTTTAAGTTGTTCCAAATTTGGAAATACTTTTATTTCTTCAAAATTTTTCCCAGGAAATATAAAAATGGTTCACAATCAATTCTTACCAGAATATTCCATTTCTTTCCTTGTTTTGTTTGTTTCTTAATTGGTTGGTTGATTTAATTGGCTTTTTGTATTTTTCTTGTTTGTTATTGTTGTTATTGTGATTTATCATGTTTTTCATTCGTCATTGTGGAAAAGAGGTTCTATGACACGGCTTCAGTCGGCCATTTTAACCTGAACATTTCTCTTTATCTCAGCTTGAAATGCACCTCAAAAAAGGAAACCTTATATTGCATAAACCCAGTAAAATTTCTTAGCCTACTCTTCAAGGCAAGCTGATATTTTATATGAAATATTTCAACAGGATTATAGCTAAGGGTGACTTTTTTATATAACAGTAAGCAAAGGAAATAACTTTTTCCATTATTTTTCTCTTGTGGTAATTTCAATATCTCATTTCATTGCATTATAGTTGCCCTTGCAGAGGAGTTTTTATTGTGTTTTGTTTAAATAAAAAAAATTACGTAACTCAGTTATCTCTTCAAGAGTGCAATTTTCAGGATTTGCTTTACAGCCTCACAGACTAATTTTTTTGTTTGATATTATTTTCATTCAAATCTAAGAAATGGGAATTAAAACTCAGACAGAGATATGAGGACTTCTAGATTTCTTCTGCACAAACCAATCAGAGAAAGTAAAACATAATTCTCCTTACTTTTAAAAGGATTTTTTAAAGTGGCCCCTATGTGCAAGGATTATTCTCCTTTCATTTTCCTGTTGAAATTTATTAAAACTATTTTGAACAAAGCTCTTGATATTTTACTATAGGACACATCCCTACATTAATTCTAAGGAAACAGGAAAAAGGCTCTAACAGCTGTTCCCCTTCTTTACCTCAATCTCAGCTCAGTAGGATATTCTGTTGCTTTTCTTTCTACAGTGCACATGATAAAGAGTTTCAGGGTGATTTTAGAAAACCTAACAGCATCTGGAGGTGTCAGTGTTCTTGGTAGCAATTTGGTTTGAAAGGGAATATATACTGAGATTTGAACCCACTCAAACTTCAGGTAATCCAAGGTTAGAATTAAGTACAATTTTGTTCAGTACAAAGCTCTGGGTAATGAGAGAACAGCAATTTACTTTTCCAATTCACTAAAAGAAATTTTCAAGAAACTTTAAAAGGAAGGGTCAGGTAAGCTTTTAAAACTCAAATGGTTAATCCAAAGTAACTCTTGAACTCTTCAGTTTAGCTAGACTGCAAAAACTGGACCACGTCCTTAAATATAGAAATAATAGACCAAAAGAAGTCAAGAAAAGAGCCTACTGGTCTCAAGGAGTAGACAACTGATGACAAAGTAAGAAAAAAGTTCACTACAGAAGATGTGAAATGGCTACCTTTATAAGGCATACTTAGAACTTTTCAGAATAAACGCTTTTAAAAATATTTTAAATAATTTAAAAAGTATATATCAGGCTGGGCACGGTGGCTCACACCTGTAATCCCTGCACTTTGGGAGGCCAAGGCGGGCGGATCACGAGGTCAGGAGATCGAGACCATCCTGGCTAACACGGTGAAACCCCGTCTCTACTAAAAATACAAAAAATTAGCCGGGCGTGGTGGTGGGTGCCTGTAGTGTCAGCTACTCGGGAGGCTGAGGCAGGAGACTGGTGTGAACCCGGGAGGCAGAGCTTGCATTGAGCTGAGATTGCATCACTGCACTTCAGCCTGGGAGACAGAGCGAGACTCCGTCTCAAAAAAAAAAAAAAAAAAGTATATATCAAATTTGTTTCTGATTCCAAGGAAAGGTTCTGAAAAAAATATTTGAAAACTCACAAATGGCCTGCCACAGGGAATAATTCCCACGGTATACGTGTCACTGAATTGGTCCCCATGATTGACCTGCCAGTTCCTGTAGCCACAAAACTCTGAACTTGTGGACAGATCTATGGCAAAGCAGTGATGTTTTTCTATCCTAGCGTCAATACATTTAGGTTAAATATCAAGCAACTGTGCATTTTTAATGGATTAAGTCATTCCTGAGGTTATGGTAAGCAATGCGTAAAAAAAGTAGTTATTTCATTATTCACAATTGGCAAATGATGAATACTTCAAAGGAAAGTTTAGTTGGAGTCATTGTATATATAGTATTGATTTTGAATAATAATTCCAAAGAGTGCAGATGACATGAAAATGTGCAAAGTATATCGCACAAGGCAAATGAGGAGAGAATGGATAAACGTGAAAATGAGAACAGGGAGCACTGATCCAAAAATTGCATTTGAAGTCTGTGTGATGTAAATAGCAAGGCTGCTGTCTTTACATGTTCTGCAGCAGAGAGATGTCACATCTAATTCCCTATTCAAAGTGGCTTCAGTTCACCCAGCAACATTATCAGTAATTACAAGGAGAAAGAATCACTCACATTATGAAAACCCAGGCTCTGGCAAAAAGGCCTCTGTTAGGATCCAACCTGGTTCGTCCTGATGAAGGACCTGTTCCAGAACAAGAAGGGCTCCTTGTGTTTGAATCAGGTCTTTCCTCTCTTGCTGCTATGCGATGGAGAGTGTTCTGCCTAATGCAAATTCACCAGGGTAGCCCAAGAATTAGCAAGAATTCTACATTTATATTGGAACAATCTCTCCAATTGTGCTTTTGAAAAAGCACTACTCATATAGATTCTTGTTGCTTCTAATTTATTCATTTCATTTCTTCAGATATTGTGGGTTAAAAATGTCCCAAATGAAACTGTTACTGACACGTAGATAATTTTTCACTTTGTTAAGCAGAATTCTGCTTTTTAGTGCCTGGTTATAGACTAAACACAACTCAATAGTAAGTGCAACTCAACAGATCCGCAGACCCAGTGGGTTTCCTATTACCCTTTGCTTTTCCAGTATGACAAAACCTCGAAGACTGTAGGTTATTTCACCAAGTTTCAAAATTGTGCAAATGCTGCTTCTAGTAACATTTCTCAAGCTCATTTTGCTGCCTTTTGTCTCCCCAAACAGAGCCTCAACTGCTGCACACATATCATAGCACACAAAACTCTTCTGTCTGTGCAATCAGTAGCAGATAGATACTCTAGACTTAGAAGTCTCCAAGAAAAAGACATGTCATTCACTTCTATGTCACCAGCTTCTGGATTAGGATCTGTGTTGCAGTAGGTATCCTCCCCATCCCCCAACACATACATACTCAACAGAAGAAAACAAAAACCCAAAACTAATAATGTATTGAATGAGTTAATGAAGACATGGAAGAGGAGGAAATGAGACTAATTCAGGAAGTCGGGAAAGACATTCTTGAGAGGGTGAAGCTTGAACTAAGATCTGAAAGAAAGTAGGATTTAACTGGGTGAAGGAAAATGAGGAAAAAAACAAAAGATTTTTCCTGTCCATTAAATTAAGACCCCAAAATCCTATTGACAACCTCATAGGGTTTAAGATAGAGCCACTCATAATAGTAGAATGAACTGGGTCATGGTGCCTCCATGCTAACCTGTGGCTGAGGCTACTGACCTTCAGCCCTCCATTCATGAGTACCGGGTCTCTCTTCTTACAACATCACTTTTGTATACTCAATTTCTGATACAGATAGGGTTCTTTCTTCTGCCCTGGAAAAGCCCTGTTGTAACACCACACTTGTCTCTGTGTTACTATCATGAAGTCCTGTTCCATCAAAGTTTCTTCAGCAATCTCAACTTGATTCCCTTTTGTTTTAACCATTTTCTTCATCTCGATGGTAGTTTCCTATGGATATATTCTGTTATTTGCAGGAAGAACTGCAGATATAACTAGGTACCTACTTCTATATATTTTCCCATTTTCAGTCATACAACTGATACAAGTGATATTCCATCACTCTTCTCTGATTACTGGTTTCTTCACTAAACTGTTTTCTGCATTTCCTGGTGAACAATTTTATTGCTCGAACAAAATGCAGAAATTTCTTTTTGTGAAGGCTTTGCCTGGCCTGTTTGGTGGGGCTTGGGTTATTTGATAGGCTGTGGATCCTGAACACATATTCTTCCTCCATGGGTAAGACCAGAGTTTGCAGGAACACCTTGCTTTTTCTGCCCTCTTGCTAAGAATAAGCTACCATTGCCTTTGAGCAGCCGCCATACACAATAACCATCACCAAAGACTGCAGGGCACCATACATTCACATCCACTCCTGGAGTTTTGGGAGGATGGAGGTTCTGCTAAAATGGCACACTCATGTGGAAATATAATCCCACAGATAAAGAATAAAAGAGGTAGAAGGAAGAACAGGTCAGCATGTTTCTTTGACTAGGGAAACTTAAATTCCTAACTTCAGAGACCAGGCTAGCCCAAGATTCATTTCTGGACCTCTTTTACAATGGAAATTCTTCATAACAAGAAAAACTAAAAATCCGATATTTACTATTCAAAAGTGGCCCCTTTTATATTTATTGTGATTATATTAATATTTATGTTTACTTCAATATATTCAATATATACACATGTATTAAGTGTTTAGAGTGTCGGGGTTAACACACATTTATAAAATGATACATTATCTGAATTCAGAGAATTTACAATCTACATAAGGAGATATAAATCAAATAATTGCACACACATATGAAATTTCAATATGTAATTATGACTGTGTATAAACAGTAGCTTGGTGAGAGAAGAGATAATGATTAACTCAGGAAGAGAGAAAGTAAGTCTTGAGAAAAGGAAGCTGGAACTGAGATCTGAAGGAAAATGAAAATTAACTAAGTGACAAGATATGTTTTGCAGTGTCACCACCCAATTCTCATCTTGAACTGTAGCTCCCACAATTCCCATGTGTAATGGAAGGGATCTGGTGGGAGGTAATTGAATCATGGATCTTTCCCATGCTGGTCTTGTGATAGTGAATAAGTCTCAAGATCTCTGATGGTTTTATAAAGAGGAGTTCCCCTGCACAAGTTCTCTCTCTTTGCCTGCCGCCATCCATGTACGACATGACTTGCTCCTCCTTGCCTTCCATCATGATTGTGAGGCCTGCCCAGCCATGTGGAAGTGTGAGTCCATTAATCCTCTTTCCTTTATAAATTACCTGGTCTTGGGTATGTCTTTATTAGTGGCATGAGAACAGACTAATACAGTAAATTGGTACTGGTAGAGTGGGTACCAATTTACTGCTGCTGTAAAGATACCCAAAAATGTGGAGGTGACTTTGGAACTGGGTAACAGGCAAAGGCTGGACCAGTTTGGACAGCTCAGGAGAATATAAGAAAATGTGGGAAAGTTTGGAACTTCCTAGAGACTTGTTGAATGGCTTTGACCAAAATGTTGATAATGATATGGACAATGAAATCCAGGCTGAGGTGGTCTCAGATAGAGATGAGCAACTTGTTGGTAACTGAAGTAAAGGTGACTGTTGCTGTGTTTTAGAAAGAGACTGGTGGCATTTTCCCCTGCCCTAGAAACCTGTGGAACTTTGAACTTGAGGGAAATGATTTAGGGTATCTGGTAGAAGAAATTTCTAAGCAAAAAAGCATTCAAAAATGATTTGGGTGCTGTTAAAAGCATTCAGTTTTAAAAGGGAAACAGAAAATAAAAGTTCAGAAATTTGCAGCCTGATGATGTGATAGAAAAAAAAAACAAAACACACACCTATTTTCCGAGAAGAATTCAAGCTGACTGCAGAAATTTGCATAAGGAGGAGCCAACTGTTAATCACCAAGACAAAGGAGAAAATGTCTCCAGGGCATGTCACAGGGCTTCACAGCAGCCCCTCCCATCACAGGCCAGGAGGCCTAGGAGAAATAAATGGTTTCACAGGCTGGGCCTAGGGCCCCCCTGCTCCGTACAGCCTGGGGACTTGGTGGCCTGCATCCCAGCCACTTCAGCCACAGCTAAAAAGAGCTAAGGTATAGCTCAGGCTGTTGCTTCAGAGGGTGTGAGCCCCAAGCCTTGGCAACTTCCACATAGTGTTGAGACTGCGGGTGCACAGAAGTCAAGAACTGAGGTTTGGGAACCTCTGCCTAGATTTCAGAGAATGTATGGAAATGCCTAGATGCTCAGGCAGAAGTTTGCTGTAGGGGTGGGGTCCTCATGGAGAACCTCTGCTAGGGCAGTACTGAAAGGAAATGTGGAGTTGGAGCCCCGGCACAGAGTCCCTACTAGGGCACCACCTAGTGGAGCTATGAGAAGAGGGCCTCCATCTTCCAAACCCCAGAATGGTAGATCCACCAACTGCTTCCACTGTGCACCTAGAAAAGCTGCAGACATTCAATGCCAGCCTGTGAAAGCAGCTGGGAGGGAGGCTATACCCTTCAAAACCACAGGGGTAGAGATGCCCAAGGCCATAGGAGCCCATCTCTTGCATCAGTGTGACCTGGATATGAAACATGGAGTCAAAGAATATCACTTTGGAGCTTTGAGATTTGACTGTCCCACTGGATTTCAGACTCTCATAGGACCTTCAGCCCCTTCATTTTGGCCAATTTCCCCTATTTGAAAAGGGTATATTTATCCAATGCCTGTACTTCCATTGTATCTAGGTAGTAACTAGCTTGATTTTGATTTTACAGGCTCATAGGTGGACATGACTTGCCTTGTCTCAGATGAAACTTTGGACTGTGGACTTTTGAGCTAATGTGGAAATTAGTTAAGACTTTGGGGGACTGTTGGGAAGGCATGATTGGTTTTGAAATGTGATGACATCAGATTTGGGAGGGACTGGGGCAGAATGGTATGGTTTGACTGTGTCCCTACCCAAATCTCATCTTTAATTGTACCTCCCACAATTCGCACATGTCAAGGGAGGGACCCAGTGGGAGGTAATTGAATCATGGAGGCGGGACTTTCCCATGCTCTTCTCATGAGAGTGAATAAGCCTCACAAGATCTGATGGTTGTAAAAAGAGGTGTTCCCCTGCGCAAGTTCTCTCTCTTTGCCTGCCACCATCCATGTAAGATATGACTTGCTCCTCCTTGCCTTCTGCCATGATTGTGAAGCCTCCCCAGCCATGTGGAACTGTGAGTCCATTAAACCTCTTTCCTTTATAAATTACACAGTCTTGGGTATGTCTTTATCAGCAGCATGAGAACAGCCTAATACATGACGGAAAGATGGAAGAGCATTCAAAGACAGTAGCATGTAGAAAAGCCCTTTGACATCACTGAAAATTGTAATGGAAGGCAGTAATTCCTGGAGAATAAACTGTCACATAAAACACAGTACTAAATAAAGCCACAGCAGAAATAGAAATATGCATGCAGGGCCTGGCTGTCCCTGTTTAGAAACTTTATCTTAATCCTACAATCACTGGAAGGACGTTAAAGGGATTTTAAGCCTGTGGTTTCCCTCATGGAAAGATACATTGGCTGCTCCCTGTAGAGTGAGTTAATACTTCCCTATATGGCAACATGGTGGACTAGATATTGTAAATATCCTCTGAAGTATGCATAACATTAAAACATAGCTAAATTTACAGAAAGAAATACAAACTCCAGGTTTTAAAAAAGTGACAAGGGGAAATGAAAATCAGTGTAACAAGCTCACACTGATGATCCACCTTCCTAGAAAGATTTACTGTTCTGTGTAACCTATAGGTTTAATTTTAATGACTTATTGGGAGAGAGAGATAGGAGAGTAATTCTCATGTCTTTGTATGATTCAAATAAGAAAATTAAAAGTAACTAGAAAATATGTAAAGAAATAATGAAATGCTCCTTATCAGGTTGTTCTAAACTTCAGATTTTTTTATCTTTTAGCTAACCTCTTACTAAAATCAAATGGTTAAGTTATATAAAATAAACACACACACACACACTCTGACACTCACATTCACTCACACACACACACAAATATATATTCCTTAGAAATTTACCAAGGATTCACATTGTGAGTGTGCAAGGTTCTGAAAAGAAAGGAGACTCTTTGATGGATGCCCAACATCCCAGGCTAATTCTTCCCTGAAGGCATTTGGTGATTCTTAAGCAGTGCCTAGGGAGCAGCTAAGCACCGTTTATGAGGCAGCATTTCTCACCTCCTCACACTAACTCCAGCTCCATCTTACAGAAGCTGTATTCCAGGAAAGAATGGCTCCCTTTCTTCTCTCAGCCTACACTCATAAGGTGAAGCTCTACCCCAGGAGTGGAAAGCAGAGAACGCTGGACCACAATTACCCTTGCCTCAGCTTACTTAAAGAATGGAGGCCCCACGTCATGAATGGTGAGCCATGAAGCCCAGAGGCTACAGCACCCTGCTTGTAAGGCACAGATGTCATTCTGAGAGAAGATATTATCTGAAATATCCAATTTTCAACAAAAATTATGAAACATGCAATGAAATGAAAAAGTGTAACTTACACAGTGAAATAAAGAATGATAAGCAATAGGAACGGCCTTTGAGCAGCTATTATAAATATGTTAAAAGAACTAAATAAGCCACATTTAAAGAAGTAAAGAAGATATAATGACAATGTCTCCTCAAATAAAGAATATTAATAAAGAGATAGTTTTCTTTTTAAAAAAAGGGAAATATATAGAACCTCAGAGAAGTATGAGACACCACTAAGTGCATATACATGTAATGGGAATACCAGAAGTACAGAAGTGAGAGAAAGTAGAACAAAAATTATTCAAATACATAACGGATAAGAAAATTAATATACAAATTATTTATTAAAATAATTAAATATTAATTAATTTTAAAATTATTAAAATAAATTTGTATATTAATTATGCATTATTTATTTATTGACTTAAGAAACTCAACTAATTAACTGTAAGCAGAATAAATCCAAAGATACTCACACACAGATATATCCTGATAAAAATGTTGAAGGCCAATGATAAGAAAATCTGAAAAAGAGCAGGAGAAAAATGACTTATGAAAAAGTCAATCCCAGTAAGATTGGTCAATTTCTTATAAGAAACTATGAAGGACAAAATGCAGTGGGATGATATCTTTAAAGGGCTTTAGGAAGAAGGAGTAGAGTGGGGAAGAATTGTCACCTCAGCCCAGAATCTCATATAGCAAATTCTCATTAAAAAGTGAAAAAATAACAGAGATTTCATTGCTATCAAACTAACTTTATAATAAATACTAAATGAAGTTCTTCAGGCTGAACAAGTGATCCTAGAAAGTAATTTGCCTTTGAGCAGCTATTATAAATATGTTAAATATTTAAATGTTAAATAAATATATATTTATACACACATACATGCACACATACACAGACATACACACACATACAGAGAGTGCTGGCAACAGTAATTGTGTAGGTAATTTAAAACACTGTTAGCTACATATTTCTTACCCTTTCTTCTCTTAACTGATTTAAAAAGCAATTATATAACATGATATGTATATCACTGTGCTGCTGGGCCTATAATCTATAGCTATTTAATACATTTGCCAATAACAGAACAAAGGAGTTGGGTACGAGCAAAGTTGTATTTGAGTAAAGAAATGACATGATATAACTAGAATTCACAGGAACAAATACACAGAACTGGTAACATTTTTCTAATATAAACTCTATAAATATATACTTTCTCTCCTTTCTTCTCTCAACATCTTTAAAAAACCTATAATTATCTAAAGTAAAACTACAATGATGTACTCTATTTATAATATATAGATGTAGCATGCATAAAAATAGCACAGAAAATGCTAAAAAAAAATAGAAATAACGCTCATAGGCCTCACTGGAATTAAGTTGGTGTAACTCTGAAGTAGATATTGATAAGAAACTAGAATAAGTCCTAAGAGAAGGAACCTTAGAAAAAGAAAACTTTAAAAAATATAGTGCACAAATTGTTTATAAATTAAAATGTTATTTACACTTAATGCAAAAAAACCAGTAATGCAGTCAGAGGAACATAAAAAGACATGTAATATGTAAAAAAAAAACAGAATAAAATGACAGATATAAATCCAAATCTATCAATAATAACACTATATTAGATTATAAGATTCTAGATTATGTAGATTAGATTATAATTATCTCTAAAATAGATAATTCTGTGAAAATGTCAACAAAATTCATAAAACTTTAGCTAGATTGTCCAATAAAGATGGATAAAAGGCTCAGCTACTAGAATTAGAGATGACAGAAAAAATGTAACTGCTGACCATGCAAAAATATAAATGATCATAGGAGAATACAATGGACATGAAATGAAATAAAAGATGAAAATTATAGAAATAAAAACTACTAACTCAAAATGAAATAGAAAATCTGAACACAAAGAAAGATTGAACAGTAATTTTTAAAACTTTCACAATGAAAAATTCAGGCCCAGATCACCTCACTGGTAAATTGTACAACATATTTAAAAAATAGATTCAGAGGTGACTGGGTGTGGTGGCTCATGCCAGTAATCCTCGCACTATGGAGGCTGAGGAGGGTGGATCGCTTGAGGTCCAGAGTTCAAGACCAGCTTGGCCAATACGGTGAAACCCCGTCTCTACTGAAAATACAAAAATTAGCTGGATGTGATGGCACATGCCTGTAATCCCAGCTACTTGGGAAGCTGAGGCATGAGAATCGCTTGAATCCAGGAGGTGGAGGCTACAGTCAGCAGACACTGAACCACTGCACTCCAGCCTGAGCAACAGAGCAAGACACTGTATTTAAAAAAACAAACAAACAAAAAAAACTCAAAAAATAGATTCGGGAGTACTGTGCAGTTTTTTTACATGGACATACTGCATAATCGTGGGGTTTGGGCTCCAACCCAAATACTGAACATCATATCCACGTTGTACCCAATAGGTAATTTTTCAACCCTTACCCCTCTTCTACTCTCTCCCTTTTCGGAGTCCCCAGTGTCTATTATTTTTCTCTGAATGTTCAAAATTTTATGAAATATTTAAGGAATAATTAATACCAATTCTTCAAAAACTCTTCTAAAAACTAGAAGAGGAAATACTTCCCAATTTATTCTATAAGGCCAGTACTTCCTGGCACCAAAACCAGTACACCCTTGTTTTTCCTTCTCCTTACAAGAAAAGGAAACCACAGAGCAGTATTTCATTTGAATATAGGTAGGAAAATCCTCAACAAGAGTCTAGTAAACTAAATGCAAAAATATATATAAGATGAATTACACATGATGAGCAACTGAGATTTCTTCCACGATCACAAGGTTGGTTTAATAACCAAAATCAATTAACATAATAAACCATATCAATAGAATTAGAGACAAAAACTACATGATTATCCATCTTGATATATGCAGAAAAAGCACCTTGAAAAATCCAATATCCTTATGATTAAAAATAATCTCAACAAATTAAATATAAAATGGATTTTTTTTTAAATTTTAAACTCCATCTACAACAAATCCACGTGGAACTTCATACTTGGTGGTGAAAGACTTAAGGCTTTGCCCCTAAATCAGGCACGAGACAAGGATGTATGCCCTTGTCATTTATTTTCAATATTTTACTGGAGGTATTAGCCAGGACTATTGGAAAAGAAAAATAAATAAAATTCACCCAACTTGGAAAAATTAAAACTAAAAGTATCTCCATTTGCAGAGAACATGATATTTTATACAGAAAATCTTAAGGAATCCACTACTATACACTAATATTATATGGTGATAATTTAGCAAGGTTGCAGGGCACAAGGCCAATATACAAAATAATCAAAAGTATTTCCATATACTAGCAATGAATAATCTGAAAATGATAGTAAGAAAATAATTTCATTTACAATAACATCAAAAACTTAAATATTTAGGAAAAGATGTAATAAAAGAAGCAGAAACTTGTACTCTGAAAACTATGAAACACCACAGAAAGAAATTAATGACATCCAGACAAACCTGAATATAAATAAAATGAATTATTTTATATGATATACTGAATACAATACACTGAATTGACACAAGAAAATAGATCTGTAATCGTTAAACTATTTGCATCTATAATTGAACATATTCCAATGACAAATGGTCTAGAAATTTTAAAGGTGAGTTCAGTTAAACATCTCAACATTAGAAAAAATATAAGGCCAATCTCATGAAAAATAAAAATGGGAGTCTTCCATAAAACATGTTGTGATACTAATATAGGTTTTATTCCATGAGCAGAAAGGAACATTTTAAGTCAATTTCAATTATGAGGTTAAATATTAATATCAATTGTAGCAAAACTAAAAATTAGCCAATACAAAGCAGTTAATATAGAGAAAACATGTAATTAAATCTGGTCTATCAAAGTGATTTATTAATTGGTTTCCATTGGAAAATATTTACATGTTATTCACCACCATATAAACACATAAAATAATGTTTAACCTCAAGAATAATTAGAGAATTTTAAGCCAGTGATACACCTTCATAAGCAAGAGTTAGTAAGACTGAAAACTAACAAATTTAAGTTATGAAAAAATGAGAACCCATATACTTACAGTGGAAGTATAAATTAGTACAACCTCAATAATCTTTTAGTTAAATATGGTTTAAAGATATGCATATTTTGTGGCCCAAGCAATTTTTCCCCTAAATCTATGCTACCAGAGAAACTCCTGCAAACCAATACTAGAGATGTGTTTAAGGGATGTTATTAGTAGCTTCAACTATAATAGCAAAAGAGTGAAACAAACTAGGTGTTCACCAACTAGGGGAATAAATTAATAAACTGTGATATATAGAAATACTTTAATAATGTACAGTAATCATTATAACATACAGCAATCACAAACTAGAAAGATACATGTTTTTCCAGTTACTATGGTTTCAGAACATATTTCTATAATACTTAGTGATGTAAAACAACCATTTATCATGCTCTTGGTTTTAATGTGTCAGAATTTAAACAAAGCATGGGGGATATGGTTGATCTCTTCTCTACTTCGTCTGATGCCTTAGTTGGAAGACTAGAGGGCTGGGGACCATTATCATCCACAGGCATGCTCACTTACAAGGCCACCAAGGCTGGCTGTCAGCTGATACCTCGGTTACTCTCCATTAGGCCTCTTCATGTAGTCTTGTCACACCACCTACTTTGGTTTCCTCATTTCGCAGTGGCTGGTTTCCCTTAAGCAACCATCCCAATATTGAGGGCAGAATGATTTACTTCAGAAATCACAAAGCATCATTTCTGCTGTACTCTTTTAGTAAGAGCAATCCAAAGTTCCCCACCCAGATTCAGGAGGAGGGGACCCCCAGACATCTCTCAAGAGGAGTATCAAAGTCACATGGTAAGAAGAGCACATAAGATGGAAAAGACAGTCACAGCCATTTAGGAAAACAAAATCTGCCAAACATCTTAATTGGCACAAAAACAATTTTGAGTGGAAAAAGTAATTTACAGCACAGTATAATTCCACTTATGTAGAGGGTTTAAATATATGCATATATACATATGTATGCATATATTTAAACATGCCCACATATATTTAAAGGAAAAAAGGAATGCAATAAAAATGATCAACAAGAAATCAAAGAAGATATTATCTTTGGGAATGTGGGAGGGAGAAATATGCAATTGCGAAGGAATATACAAGAAACCCATCATAATATGCAAATGTTTCATTTCTTAAGTTAGGTTTCATGGGCATTCATTATAGCATATTATTATATGTGGGGGATAAACTCCAAAGGAATTTGAATTTAGTTAGCTATGAGGTATTATGGAAAGGGAAATGCCAAGGATGCATTCTAGGCGTAGCACTTAGAGAGGTGATTACACAGTAATGTCCTGCACACACAAAAAAGATACAGATATTCAATTGGAGGAAAAGAAAAATGCCCATAGCAAATATTGAGGTAGACATAGATAGAAGAACAGAGAGACATATACAGACACAGACATTGGCGTAGTTCATCAACTAAAGCCCTTGGATCAGTCTTTACAGGCAATATGATCCTACAAAGAAATCACCAAATTTCTGGAAGTTATCCTGAGATTTAAAATGCTTGTAGTTCAATAATATCATGTGATCATCAAGGTGACACTGCAAAATTTCTGCTCTGATGAGTGTTCGAAGAAATAGAAAGGGCTGATCATTGCTTCAAAAGTGTTTATATTGATAACATGGCTAGTTATTTATGTGTGTCTGTCTGATTTGTAAACAGGTTTCCCCTGACAAAAATATCTTTTCCAGCATTAAGCATGTTGCTGGAAATTTCACCTCCAGAGATTATTTCCATTGGGTACGGCTCCTGAAATTCACTCTCAAAAGTCTTTCTTTGAAGATGCAGAGGTGGAACAACACTTAAATGGGACGATTCTTTATCCACATCAGTGTCACAATGGTAGACACTCAAGAGTAAGGTCACAGAGAAATAGTCTTCAACAGGAAAAAACTGAGAATACAAAGACCAGAACAAAACCAAAGGGTACAGATTTCTGACAGAGGAACAGATAAAGATCAAGGCATTTTTCTTTCACAATTTTTCTAAAGGAACATGTGCTTAGCAATCTTATCACAGGGTCAACATATATGGCTACAGATATTTAAACATGGCCAGCCCAAATATCTAAATTGAGTTTAGCAGCATGGGAGACGCGATTTCTTAAAAATATTTAGTACTGTGGAAATACGTGATACAGAGCTTTTTGGAAACCTATTTCAAGTCATACATACACAGTTAGAAAAGTGCCCATGGAATCTATACAAAGTTACATGAACAACTGCGTTGCTTTAGAAAAGGGGGAAAATGAGTTCAGAATCTATTATGTAGGTCATATATCAGTATTAATTGGTTTCAATGGGGTTTGTGTTAAAAAATAGAATCCATCTTCTTTAGAAAATAAAGATATTTCTTCTGTTTACATGTAAACTAGGACAGATTCCTTTATTGCGGATATAAAAACTAGGCTAAAAAAAGGCTACTCAAAAGAGGACATCTCCAAGTCTTCTTTCATTTCTTTTTTATTTAACCTGATGAAAAGAAAAAGAGAAGAAAAATATCATGGCTATAGGTGAGCAATAAAATAGCCATGAAGATACTATCTTCTTACTATCACAGGTTCACGGGTTTTGATAGAGGTATCCCCTTTATAATAATGGTTGCCTTTTGAAACGTATCTTAGTGTGAAAATCTTTAGTCACTAACGTGTGTCTCCTGGGGGGCGGGGCATGGGAACAAAACTTGAAAAAGATCACTTCCACATAAAGAGAACTATAAGTTGGCCAAGTAAACATGAATTAGATGTACAAAAATTACCAATTTCATAGCAAGACACTAAATATTTCTGTCAAAAGTTGTGGGGTGTTGCTGACTATAATTAAGCTTTAGCTTTACAGTAGTTTCACTTTCAAAAAAGACTATATGTATATAATATACTTAGTGTATAACTTTTGCCTTTTACACAGGCTTTTCTAAGAAAGAATAAAATACTGGCTGGAAAACCTTTCTTCAGTTATTTCTTGGTAGATTAATCTTCTCCTCAAAGTCCCAATAATAATTGTAATGCCTAATCCCTGAGAACAAGTCACTTCAGGTGGGAAATGGAAGCAGCTTGGGAATTCTTCGACAAGAAGAACCAGATTTAGATAAAAAAAATTCACTGTAGTCAAGGCCAGGGTGAAAATTCACAAAGCAAGTAACCTCTTATACACCCAGTCCTAAGTACAGACATCCATATGTGTATGTATGGCCCTCCTCCAGCCCTGTGCAGGGGGGTCTTTGGCCAATGCAACACTACCATCTCCCTTATAAGGTCTCTTCTGTGTGGCACAGGAAAAGCCAGCAGCTATATTTTCTTGAATTCTTTTCCTGGGATAGTTTGTCAATGAGAGGAAAATGTATACATTAGTAAGATGGAAAAGAAGCAGAAACTATCATTCTCAGGAGGCTGTTGCAGACAGATGTGTGCAGACTGAGATTCCCGACAGCATGACCATGCACTCGTGGAAGCCACTTGCTAACTGCTGCAGACTGAGGCGGTTAGTGAGAACTTCTAGGGTTTGTTTCTGTTTTGTTGTTGTTGTCGATGTTGTTTTTTAAGAATTGTAACAACTTCCCAGCATGCTTTTGCGAACTGTTTCAGTGTTTGCAGCTGAATTCCTGGTTGGTGGATCCCTTGCCCTGCAGCACTGGCTTCCACAACCTGTAGAGGCAGCTTCCTTGACTTCTGCTCCTTCAACACTTCCCAAATCATTTCAGTCTCTAATTCTGTGTTTACTCTTTTACACTCAAAATACAGTGAATGCCTTCTCTCTTCTTGACAGAACAATTACTTCTACAAGCCCTAGCGAGGATGAATTAAATCTTTCAAGGGTCCTACTCAATCCATGGTAAGATCCAACTAGTTCTCAATACCTACGCACCCCAGGATGAGTATCAGTCAAGAACTTGTAATCGAGTGTGTCTAATATCCCTCGGCACCAAACACGCCAGTTTATATTCTCCAGAGTATCACTAGGATTCAATCCTGAAACCGATTTTCTGACTTTCAATGAGATATAATAATGATATTGGGAGACAGAAAGAAGGGGAAGGCTAAGATTTCCCTGAAAGTAGTTTCTAGAAGTAGCAGCAGTCATAGCAACTGAGGATGCCTGTAAGTAGTGTAGAGCCCAGAAGCATTAATGGCAGGTATGGCAGCACAATGTGAGTAGAAACTTCCTTTTTTTTTTTTTTTGAGACGGAGTCTCGCTTTGTCGCACAAGCTGGAGTGCAGTGGTGTGATCTCAGCTCACTGCAACCTCCACCTCCCAGGTTCAAGCGATTCTCCTGCCTCAGCCTCCCAAGTAGCTGAGACTACTGGAGCACAAAGCCACACCCAACTAATTTTTGTCTTTTAGTAGAGATGGGGTTTCGCCATGTCAGGCTGGTCTCGAACTCCTGGCCTCAGGTGATCCACCCACCTCGGCCTCCCAAAGGGCTGAGATTACAGGCGTGAGCCACCGCACCTGGCCCAGACTTCTAATTTTCTAGTATAGGGCCACCAGTGTCAGTCCAACAGCAGGACCATAATGTGAATAGTGGCAGTACTATCACAGGCTCACGGGTTCCAGGGACAGCAGCAGCTTCCTGACTTGGGCATAACAACTGCCTTCTCTTCTTTACTCCTCAAACTCCCCTCTGTTCACTGTTTCTTTTTCAATTTTCCCAACATCTTTGCAGAACTCAGTTTAGACTGCCCACTCAAAACATGATAAACTCTATCTTCCACTACCTTCCCAGTATCGAATTTTTTTAAGGTTTTGTTTTTCACAGACTTGTTTCCCCCCCGCCACCGCCACCCTTTGGTTCTTTTATAATTGTAAATTAAATTTGTTCAAGCAGTTATACAAAATTATCTGTTGAAAATATATGTGTCCAAACCTGTGCTAGGCACTGATGGAAAATCAACATGGAAAGTGCACTCCTGGTTTTCACAGAACAAGGATTGGGAAAGATACAGACACAACCTGGAAGCACAGCATCTACAAGGCTTTCGCTCAGACTTTAGAGAAGAGACTTCACAGCTGACCTAGGAACACATCAGAAAGGACTTATTTTCAACTGCATTTGAAAGTGTAAGGTAGAATCCCCACTTTCCAATCACCACAATTTAGTTTTATTGACACAGCAAATAAAACCCTTGCCTGGAGGTTAAAGGTATAAATGAAAACATCTTCTCTTGAATACAGGTGGGAACTGTGAATTCATTCTAGCCAATAGAAAATGGCAGCCGGGTGTGGTGGCTCATGCCTGGAATTCCAGTACTTTGGGAGGCCGATGTGGGCGGATCACCTGAGGTCAGGAGTTCAAGACCAGTCTGGCCAACAAGGTGAAACCCTGTCTCTACTAAAAATACAAAAATTAGCTGGGTGTGCTGGTAGGTGCCTGTAATCCCAGCTACTCAGGAGGCTGAGGCAGGAGAATCGCTTGAACTGGGAGGCAGAGGTTGCAGTGAGCCGAGATCGCACCACTGCACTGCAGCCTGGGTGACAGAGCGAGACCTGGTCTCAAAAAAAAAAAAAAAGAAAAAGAAAAAAGAAAACAGAAAATGGCAAAGATGATGTGATACCACTCTCATGATTAAGTTATGTTATATAAGCCTCCACCTTATTAGCAGGCTTACTTTACTGTCTCTTTATTTGTTATTGTCTTTGAAGAGGCAACCTAGCTTGAATCCTACCTATATAAGGAAATGAATTCTGCTAATAGCTGGAGTAAGCTTGGAAACAGAATTTTCCCTGATTGAGCCTCAGGTCTAGCTGGCATCTTGACTGCAGCCTTAAAGAGAAACCAGTTAGATTTTCTTGGATTTATGACCTTGAAGAAACTATGAGATAACGAGTACAATGTTTTAGGCTGCAAAGTTTGTGATATTTTGTTTTGCAGCAACAGATAACTAATACACTGACAAAAACTACGAATAGAAAAAATCCATCCCCCCTTTCTTCTGAAAATCCATATTTTGTCAGGAAGAACCTAATAAAAAAGCAGCTGACATGATGGTCTCAGAAATGCACTTTTCAAACTCTTAGTACAAACATCACAGAACAGAGGGTAGAAAAGTAGACTTGAGGCTTAGAATAAGAAAAACAAGCACAGTCTATCTTTAGCTACTCAGCATCTGCATACATTCTTCTACCTATATCTGAATTCTGAACAATTAAAATAACATTCTGCTTCCAACTCTGAGATACAACAAACACATTATCATAACACCCCCTATTCACACCTCTCTGGAATCCACAAGTCACATTTCCACGTGAATAATCTATAAGCTGAAGACTAAAGACAAAATGATAAAGTTATTACAACCAATGCTTCATATAAACTGAAAGGAGAAAGGAGAAGTTTAAAAAAAGAGAGAGAGACAAATATTAGTGTAAACATAAGAAGGCAACGTGTATGTCTGCCAGACACTGAACTTCTGTAACTGGTCACAAGGGTATAGTTGATTTTAATTTACTTCTTACAGACCCCATTCATTTTAACTTTACTCTTAGACCCTTGGTCACACATCTGCTGGCAGAAGAAGCTCTTTACATGGAGAGAACCTAACTTTATTCCTGAAAGGTCTGAGTCCTCAGGTGTTCCACCTTTATTGGGTTACTCTGTTGGGGTTTTCTTTACATTAATTTTTTACTTTTGTACATGGAAAAGTTAAGAGACACAAAGAAAAATCCTTCAGTTTTGAACGTAATCTTTGTTGTGTAAATGGTAGACCAGAAAATATCTCTTTGGATACTGGGACCAATCACGTCTCCAAGCACAGTAAAACCCTTCTTTGTTATTTCCATTGCATGATGAGCCCAAATAGCAAGTCACATTCTCAACTTGTAATTCATTGGAAACATTCCTATGTCCCTGTGATGGAAGAATTTCTCCCCTGAGCAAAAACAACCTTAAACTTATGCCTAAATTTTAGAGATAAAAACAAGAATTCCACAGTTCAGCTACTGCCATTGTGAGAGAAGTAACTCTCACACTCACCTGTTGGTTTCTGCATCTGAGTATACTGGCGGTGGGAGAATCAGCATCACTTACTGCTCTTTAGTTCAGAGCATATCTACATCTTGTAGACTAATGTACCAAACTTGAAGGGAATTGTTTTCCAAATGGTATCTGTGACTGGATCTTCACTATGTCATGTAAACATGCTACCATGCCAGCTACTTCTGGGTGATGGGTATAATATGAATGAATTCTATGGGTGTGAGCCTTTTGATACATTATTACTGT
Organism: Homo sapiens; assembly: GCF_000001405.40. Taxonomy (NCBI): domain Eukaryota; kingdom Metazoa; phylum Chordata; class Mammalia; order Primates; family Hominidae; genus Homo; species Homo sapiens. Next base: position 9,695,315 of record NC_000010.11, read on the forward strand.
GAAATAAGTGACTCAATCTAAAATGATGTTGCATGAGCTAACATGATGACTGAAGCACCCAAAATATCCAGACACAGGAGGTGCTGACAGAGCATTGTGAACAAGAAAAATAAGCCTTATCCAAAATACGAATTTACTCTAATGAGGACACATTGATGAGCACTCTCATAGGACACAAATATCTTCAAACTATAGGCTCAATCCATGAGGTCTATCCACATGAGTCTTACCCAGCCCTGCTTGTTAAATCTCTTCCATACCAGTCCCTCATCATCTGGCTCACCAGTCGTACTGCCCATGAATTAGCATGCATCCATACCACTGGCCATCTCTCTGTCCAGACAGTGAAAAACCAAATGCATTGCTTAAAATACTACCTACTCAGAAGACAATCAGTGAGTATCCTCAATGGGGCTAATATCATTTATAAACCATGCCTGAGATTTCCCTTCCTTCATCACATACTCATAGGGAATTTTGTGTGGTCACAGGTGTGTGCTTAGGGGAAAAGGCAATGATACAAGAGTAGGTGCCATAGAAATCTAAGCCAATTGCTCATGCAAATGATTTTTTGTCAGGGACCCACCAGGTCAGGGACCTACGCTGGCAGATGCCACTTCAACTCCATACTGTTTTGCTGCTGCACACACCCAACCTTATGGCTTGGAGGATTAGGGAAGACACAGTTCATGATGGGCAGCTCAGGTCTCACAGTCATTAGATGTAGCAGAATAATGGACCCTACCCCTCCAATATACCCACTTCCTAATCCAAAGATCCTGTGAATATGTGGTTTATAGCAAACGGGAATTAAGTTTGCAGATGGAATTAAGGTTATCAATTAACCTTGATACAGGATGGTTATCCTGGATTATTCAAGTGGACTAAATGTCATCAAAAGGGTCCTTAAAAGTAGACAGGGGAGATGTGATTAGGGAAAAATGTTCAGAGAGATGCAAGACCACAAGCCAAGGAATACTGAGGGAACTCTAGATGACGGAAAAGGCAGGAAAGAGATTCTCCCCTCTAGCCTCCAGAAATGAACGCAGCCCTGCTAACACCTTGATTTTAGGTCCATGAGATCCTTCTCAGATGTCTGACCTTCAGAACTGTAGAATAATAAACCTGTGTTGTTTTAAGCCACCAACTTTGTGGTGATTCATTACGGCAGAAATGGATAACTAATAGACTTCATATTCTATGACCGAGCATCATCTACCAGGGCCTGGTTCTAAGCCAGAAGATGTATCTTAAAATGAAAATAATTACTTTCAGATGAATCAGGAAGCTGTCCATCAGACCTACACATTTCTGCTTTTATAGATAAAGTAACACTTTACTAGTTTACTCATCTATTTTATTATTAGATCAGCTTTCTGGAGACAAAAACATTTTGTCTGGCATTTGAACCCTGTTGATTATGACAGGAATTATACCCATTTTGTTTCTGGTGAATCACATCTGGTCTTTGCCACTCTAGGATGCTACCAGTTCAACTGAAAACAGGAAGCCTGTGTTAATTCCGTCAACTCTAACATTATCCACAGCATGTAGAGGAAAATCACCAAAGACTTTCTCAAAGATGCTAGTGATCTCTTCACTAAGTTATGTATCAATTTATTGGTACTTTAGTCAAGAGTGTCCTCCTGACCCTCAACAAGGGATGCAGGGCAAACAAGATTAGTCCACTCCAAGATTTGTATCCCCCCCTAAAACTATGTATTCTATCTTTTACATCAGGGAAGATGTTTGCTTCTAAACATCATTAAGTACAAAACATTTAAAGTATTAAAAATTAAAAATAAATTACATGCAGTTGAATCCAGGTTTCAGGCAATCAACTATGGAAACTCTTCAGATAAGTCCTGACTCCTTGAATCAACACATTAGATTCATGGTAAATGCCTTGACAACTTTTGCATAATCTAATATTAAAATCCATCTATTTTTGCCTAACACTTGAATTGATTATCATATATATTTCTCAGTTTTAAGATAATATAAATGAGCAAATATTGCAATTATTTTGGCAAACAAGCCGTCTCTTCCTGGGTTGCACGTTGCACTAATCCTCTTGGAGAATGTTTGGATCTTACTTGAAGTGGATCTAGAGGCAATGGAAGTGATGGAGGTGGTTCCTGAGGTGACCAGGCCTTCCCTTGAAATGCTGCTAACTTGGAGAGATGACTATAAAATGTTCATGGAAGCCTTTCTCCTCAGCCAGAAAAGGAGAGGTTACTTTGGCTGGCAAGGGATGCTTAGGGAGATTTGGGGATTAAAGTGCAGGAAGATGTAGTTATCCCACTCCTGACTTTTTGTAGTCATTACTTCTATCATGATGGTCAAATCAAGTGGCTAATTGGCTTTTCAAAACTCTACCTGTCCTTCATCCCAAGAAAACATATATGATAATGTATATATCTGTGGTACTAATGGACAGCGCTAATACAGTTATCCCATTTTTCCCACCAGCAAAAGTGTCATTATTAGATCAAAATAATCCAGAGTCCCATGTCTGAAGATCTGTCTTCTAGGACTTCATCTCATAGAAATGAATATATAAAGTCAGGAAACAAAAGCACAGGTAGTATTTCAATGAGCATATTTAATGCAGAGTTAGTTTCGGTGCTCTAGATAAGAGAGGACACTGTCCTATACTAGGGTACTGGCAGTGAAGAGATGAAGTAAGTCATTTTTGAAATCTAAGAGACGGTACCTTATAAGAGGGAGGTATGTGGAGAAAGAAATATATTGCAAATAATGAACAAGTTTCTGGGTTAAGAAGTTTGTGTATGACAGGAGTTCAGATTTCTAGATCAAGTAGTCAGGGGTATGGAAAGCAGATTATCCTTGGGGAAAGAAGAGATGATAACACATCCAAATACATACCCAAGAAAAACGTAGAATGGAAACTGAAAGGAAGTCAGAAATGGAAAAATAAATGGACTCATGGATATGAGTCCCCAAATAGACTCATAAATTATACGATAAGATAAACATAGTTGTTTTCTAAAAATTAAACTATAATATGAATTAATATCCCATAGTATAGATACATAGTCTCAAAAACCTCTTTGATTATTAAGCCTTACTATTCATTTGAATCCTTCAATGATTACTATTATATATATTAGAAAAAAATAATTATCAAGCAGAAAAATAATTGGTAAGTGCTTGTAAGAAAATAATTGGTAAGGGAATTTAGAAAACAATGACAAAGCTGGAGGTAAACACTCCAGGTATCTATCTAACCACTACACAAACAACAGAGTATTGACCCATAACCTTCAAGTGTTATATATTGTATATCAAGTCTATCCATGTTATACATGTAAGCACTTTACCCATTTTAGTTATCTAAATAGCTCTCATTGTTTTGGTTTATTTCCAATCAACTTTATATTTTTTATTGTTGTTTCCATGAATGCACAACTATGTCAAGAAAGTGACTCGTCATGCAAAGAAATACATCATTGCTTGTATTTCTTAATTACACTTAATACTATTCATTAATACAGTGATTATGGCTAATATGAGCCAGTTATATGACATAAATATCATCTCTTTGGGCTGTCAAGAGGAGAATTTTAATGCTTAATACTGATGGATGGATCCTACACCCAGGTAAATTCGTATTTTGGGGTAGCCACTTGAGGGTCAGCCAGCAATCTCTCTATGGGGAATACTCTGACCTCACCACAAGTAATTCTTTCAAAAGTTAATAGAAATTGAAATGGTAGATAAGTTTCCCCTTAATATGAATACATTGTAAAAAAAAAAAAAAAGGACTAGTGATGAGAAAACACATAGAAGTAAAAAATACCAGTTATTTATATACAGAGATGCTACTGGCTCAGACTGGCAATTTTCCACACACTACTAAGTATACTTGCTATGTCTATTAGTATTCCCATTATTGTTAACAGTTGGTGCCAACGTAATGCATTATGAAAATTTATTTTAACGCAAAACATAAGAGGATATCTCTAATAGCATTTTTCTTCATCTCTGGGGCACAGTATATTACATCAAGAGGGTATGTCAAATCTGAATGCGCCTAAGCCACAGAATTTGAAGTTAAACTTCAGTTCACCTTTAAAACATATCTTCCACCTACGTGGCTTAAAACATGGCAATAGTTAGCAAGCACCCTTGGCTCCATCCTCCCACCTACACTAGAGAAAAACTATTTTGCACACAGAGGTCAGAGTGACCTGGTAAATGTTACCTGGCAATTGCTGGGCATTTAGGAAAGAAGAAGAAAGTCACAGAAAATGACCCAGGCACAGTCCCTTTGCCTGTCAAACAAGGAAAGACAAGGATTAAAAATAAAACCTACATCATATAAGGTTAAGAACTCCTGTTGTGCTAAGAGCTTTTGAAGCCAGAAAATACCAGAGGCTTGAGTTTATCTGGGATAAAAATGAAAGTTCTGACCCGACATCATTAGTGCCTCACTCCACTTTTGACCGCAGCTCCCACAGGTTCTTGAAAGCAGCTTAACCAGGGTTAGAAGGGCAAGCCCAGGGCAGAAAAAATGACACTCATCCATTTAAACATAATTTAATTCTCTGAAGGCTTTTAAAATAGGTTCTTAGAATCAACATCCTTGAGCACTCCGATTGAATGCAGCTATTTTGGGAAATAAAATTGCTGTTATTGATATTTTCTGCATGAATTCAAGGAGGCAAAAACCAAGTGAGGTGCCTTTTGGCCCTTCTACTCTGTAGTCTCAAATCAAAGCACGGATGAAGTGGAATCTAATATATTTTGTGTTAATGTGCTTCAAGATATGCTAACATCCACTTTGTGTTATAATAATCTGGTATAGTGTATCTACTTCTACTCTAATAAATGGACTCAAGTTTAGACTGACCTCTAAAAAACATCTCCATTATCAGTACCTCAGCTCTTCCTCTTCTTCAGAGCATGTTAGAAAGTTACAAGAGTTACATGAAGTACCTGAGCAGCTAAGTTCAAAGTGTATCCTGAATCCACAACAAATCCTGGGGAATCCTAATCTATCCCTGTTTCTTTGTAGACCTCATAAAATGGCACCATCATAGTCCCTCTTATAAACCCCAAGTATTAGTATCTGAGATAAACTATTCTTAGGCACAAAGCAGTATGTGTTTAGCCAGCTATCACCTAGAACAGATGAATGCTTTGAGGATCTTGAACTTTGGGAATGTACATTTCCATGGAATGGGGAATTGAAGGTCTAATAAAGAAAAGTTTGATAAACTTAGTGAAATAAATGAAGAGAAGCTCTGTAATTCCATAGGTCAGAGGATAAGTAAAAACAAAAACCCATCACTACAGTGGGGCATAGCTGTGAAAAAAATGAGGTGTGCTCTCCACCTCACATTGAAGATAGGCCCCAGATATTTTCATATTTATTTTCATTGAGATAAAATTCATAAATCCTAAGTGTAAAATTCAATGAGTTTTAGCAAATATATACATGTGCTATCATATCAATCAAGATAGAAAACATTGTCATTACTACAGAAAGTTTTTCTTCATGTGGCTTCAATTAGAAAGGTGTCAACACTTTAAACAACGAAAGTTCTGATTTCTATCATCATAGTTTTATCAGCTGTACAATTAATATAAATTTCTTTTACTGTATATAGAGTTTGTGTCTGACTTCTTTTGCAGAGTACTGTTTTTTTTTAGAGCCATCCTTGTTGTTGGTGTGTCAGTATTTGTTTCTTTTTTATTGCCAAATAACATTTTATTATATAAATATTCCATTGCTTATCTATTTCTTTGGTATCAAGAACTGGAATGATCTGAGAACCTACCCTTCATGTCAGCTGACAAATTAGGCTGCCACAGTTTTTAAAATGCTGACAGAAGACAAATAAAGGACTTTTATTACTCATGGAAGAACAGGCAGCATAAGTATCACATTTGCATGAGTTTCTCTTCTCCCATCTCCAAGTCCCATGGGTATGATCCCAGGTGCATTCTTGCACACACAAAGAATTTGGGTCTCAGATGAAGAACCCCAAGTTTAGGAATCCCTGATCTTTAACAGGGGTTGCTAGCAAACCTGCTCAACTTTTGCCTTCTAGACATGTTATCTTCAAAACTTCAATCAGGTAATAAATCTGCCCTCTGCCTGCCAGGGGAAACACTATTCTCTGCCGAGGGTATTGTCTATATAAATATCCTCGAAAAGACAGTGCAGAACAAAAGCCAATTCAAAACATACAGAACTCCATGGAGAGCTCTCTCTTAACACCTGGTGATGGACGTTTCCTAGCATTCCATATAAATTAAGTTACAATGTTTTCTAGTCTTCTAGCTCCAACTCATTCATTAAAGTCCAAAATCAATGGAAGAGCTAACAAAACGCAAGATATATATTCCTTTATCAACTCAACAATTATTTTGGTTCCAGTTTGGAACTAGTATGTTATTTCCTTAACATGTTCCATGAATCAATCATGCCGTGTGTGACTAAAAACAGTTTGACTTTTCCTGTAAAATTTTTATGCGCTTTTTTTTCCTTGTTTATTACACTAGCAAGGGACTATATTGAACAGATGGGTTTAGAACTGATTCTTCGTTATTTTGTTCCCAGTCTTAGGGTAAAAGTGTTCAGTATTTCACCATGTGTGATGTCAGCTGCACATTTTTTCATACATGCACTTTATCAGTGGATAAACTTTCCACTTTATCAGTTTTATCAGTGGATAAACTTTTCCACTTCATCAGTTTTATCAGTGGAAAACGTTCCTTCTATTACTAGTTTGCTTCATACTTTTATGATACATGTTAAATAGATGTTAAATTTTATCAAATACACTTTCTGCATCAATTAAGACCATCGCATATTTTTCTCCTTTTTTCTATTAATGACAGTGATTAAATTTTGATATTAAACTTTCTTCTATTTCTAAAATAAATCACATATAAGCATATATATGATCTATTGTTTCTACTGCTGGATTTTATTGTTGTTACTTCATTTGGAATTTTTGCAGATCATTTCTTGAATGTTATTTGTCTTTAATTTTCCTTTCTTAAAATATGTGTGTCAGATTTGTCACCAGAATAACATTGTCCTCTTAAAATGTACTGAAAAGTGTTCCCTCTTCCTTTATTTTCTGAAATAGTTTAAGAGTACAGTAATGCTGTGTTTATTTATTTCTTAAATATTGGATACCATTTGCAAACTTATGTGGACCTAAAGCTTTCTTTGCAAAGAGGCATTTAATTAAAATTTAAAGTGTTCCCTCTTCCTTTATTTTCTGAAATAGTTTAAGAGTACAGTAATGCTGTGTTTATTTATTTCTTAAATATTGGATACCATTTGCAAACTTATTTGGACCTAAAGCTTTCTTTGCAAAGAGGCATTTAATTAAAATTTAATTATTTTAATAGATATAGGGTTTTTAATATTCTACTTTTTCTTGTGTCAGTTTTGGAAAGTTGTTTGTTTCAAAGGATCTGATCCATTTCATCAAAGTTTTCAAATTTATTTGTATAGAGTTGTTAATAATATTTATTATCTTTTCAGTTCTTTATAATCTGTTTTGTCCATCCTCTATCATTCCTGGTTTTAATAATTTATGATTGCCACTTATTGTCTTCATCAGATTTGCTGGGTATTTATCACTTTCATTAACCTTTTTTTAGGAATGGTGGCTTCCTTAATTTTCTCTATAGTGTATTTCCTTGTTTATCTTTAATGATTTATTTAGTTCAACATGCTTTTCTTTTTCTAGCTCCTAAAAGTGGAAACTTATATCCTTGATTTAAAGTCATTATTCTTTTATAATATAAACATTTAAAGCCATACATTTATTTCTATGCCCTATTTTGGCTGCATAATATGACTTTTGATAAGTTTGATAAGTTTGTTATTATTTAGTTTAAAATGTTTCCTAGCATTCCATATAAATTAAGTTACAATGTTTTCTAGTCTTCTAGCTCCACCTCATTCATTAAAGTCCAAAATCAATGGAACAGCTAACAAAAGGCAAGACATATATTCCTTTATCAACTCAACAATTATTTTTCTTCTGTCTCACTTAACTCTATCTTTCTTGATGTTCCTTTAATATGCCAGGAAAGATTTTACTTCAAGAATTTTGCTCTTGCCTGCAATATAATTTGCATTGCTATGGGCTCCCTTCCTTCAAGATATTGCTCTAATATCTCCCTCTCAGTGAGGCTCACCACTGACCATGCCATTTAAAATTTCAGTGCCATGGCTGGGCCCATGTTTGTTTTTCACCAATACATTTCACTGTTTTAATTTTCTCTATAACCCTTATTTCTTCTACTATTACATATAGTATATTTATTTTTGTTGCTTATTGACTGTCTTCACCCTGAACCGCCTTTACTAGAATGTAAGTCTCCTCAGAATAAGGATGTTTGTTTATATTTTTCTTCAGGCAGCATATCATCAATGCCTAGAATAGACTCTGGCACATTATAGGGACTGAATAAATATTTTAGAATAAATAACAATGTTCAGTTACAAACTGCTCAATGTACTGTAGGCAGATGAGTGATTTATAAGGTTAGTGTCAAGTGACAGAAGAAAAACTGAAATTGCATCACTGAAAGATGCACCTGGATTATGAGATACATGTGATCATATTTGATTTTGAATTGTGTTTAGAAGAAAAGCATTTTAGGCAGAGAGAATCATATAATCACACCTATGAAGATATGATATGAAGATATATTTTGAGAAATTTGTTTGTTATTATTAGATATAAGGTGAGTCAGTTCCTAGCAATGCATAATGCTAAAGAGGTAGATTTTAACAATAGCTCTTGAAGTCCCATGTCCTCTAAAAAGAAGATTGGAACTATCTTAAAATATTGCCAACAACGTGAATGAAACAAAATTCAAACATAGATATATGTTAGTGATATTAAGGATCTGTAAAACTATTGCCAACAATGTGAATGAAACAAAATTCAAACATGGATATATTTTAGTGATACTAAGGATCTGTAAAAACAAGTGATTATTTTAAAAGTAGTCAGATAAAAAGACTAGTTACTTCAATAGAATATTAACTGGAAAGACAGTTGACTTCTCAGTGGTACAAGACCACTGGATGATACAAGACCACTTGTATTCATTTGCTGAAGAATAATAATTGCCAATTTAATGTTCTAAACTCAGTGAAATTATAATCTAACATTGAAGGAAAATAAGTTCTTTAAAAAAAGGTTTGTCACAAATCAGTAAATATCAGGAAAAAAGAAATCATTAGAAATTACTGACATTAAAAACATAATAACAGAATATTATAAAAATCTTTATGACCATATATCTGAGAATTTAAACAAAATGGAAAATGTTAGGAAAATCATAGGTTATCAAAACTAAGAAATACAGAATATCTTAACAGTTATCTAATCATTAAATAATTAAATCAGCAGCCACAATTTTTTTAATAAAGAAAACTACAAGCCCAAATTGATTTCTACCAAATCAAATGGAAGAAGAAGGAAGAGGAGAAGGAAGGGGAACAGGAAGAGGAGAGGAGGAGAAGGAAAGTTTTATAACCTAGATAATAAAACCTGGCAAAAAACAGAAATGAGAAAAGAACATTATATATTAATACCCTTAAACAATTATATGGAAGTTCTTAAACTTTGAATTTAAGAAATCTACCATTCACATTAGCATACAAAAATGAAGAACTTAGGCATAAATCTAACAAAAGAATCTAATAATTTTTAAAAATTGTAACAATTGAGAAAAATAAGAACAAAATAAAAACTTATATATTGTATTCATGGGTTAAAAAGTTGATACTGTAAAAGTGGTAATTCCTCCTAAATTGTTCAATAGGTGCAATGTTATCTCAGTAAAAATGCCTACTTTTGGGCCGGGCGCGGTGGCTCACGCCTGTAATCCCAGCACTTTGGGAGGCCGAGGCGGGCGGATCACGAGGTCAGGAGATCGAGACCATCCCGGCTAAAACGGTGAAACCCCGTCTCTACTAAAAATACAAAAAATTAGCCGGGCGTAGTGGCGGGCGCCTGTAGTCCCAGCTACTTGGGAGGCTGAGGCAGGAGAATGGCGTGAACCCGGGAGGCGGAGCTTGCAGTGAGCCGAGATCCCGCCACTGCACTCCAGCCTGGGCGACAGAGCGAGACTCCGTCTCAAAAAAAAAAAAAAAAAAAAAAAAAAAAAATGCCTACTTTTGTTTGTGGTATCTGCAGATTGATTTAAACTTTATGAAGATTTGCAAAGGCCTAAGAGTGGCCACTTTTTATGAAGAATATGGTAAGAAAACTTGCTTTTCTAAATCTCTTTAAAGCTATCATCATAAACAAAACTTTGTATTGTTCCAGGGATAGACAAAAAGAAATTAATGGGAAGCTCAGAAACAGACCTATATAAATACTTGACATATGACAGAGCAGATTAGTGAGGAAATGATGGATTTTTTCAATAATTGATGCTGGGACAATTAAATGCCCATACCGAAAAAAAAAAAAATGGAAATGAAATTGAATCCTCTGTCAAAGATTTAAAATATTTCAAAATAAGCTAAACATTCAAAAAAAATATAGAAGATATTCACAATCTCAATCTAGAGAAAGGTTTTCTAAAAAGTCACAAAAGCACAGGAAAAGTAAATGTAACTCAATTTAATTACATTAAAATTAAATAATCATATTTAAAAGATACCTAAGAGTGAAAGAAAACATAAAAGTAGGTAAATATATTTGTAATGCATATAACTAACAAATGACTAGTGTTAATAATATATAAAAGTCCTAGACCACTACATGGGAAACAGGAAACATAATTTGTAAAATGAGAAGACATTTGAACAAGCCTGTGACAAAAAGAAAATTCAATTACCATTAGCATTGCAAAGAGTTTTTAGTTATCACTAAAATGCAAATTTTAGAAACCTCTTATGCAGAAGAATGGGCTGAGTGTAAAAATAAATAAACATAAAAAACCTCAGTAAGAGACAATTAAATAAATGAAAGAATGATATAAATTAATTAAACACAAATACATGCATACACACAATCACAGTACCAAGCTTTCTGAAGATTCTGAAATGCTTAGAAATATCCAATACCGACTATGGTGTATCTCCTTCACTTTAACCTTCTTTTGCTTTTCTCAATTAAGTTGTTAAATTTTCTATTTAATGTCTTACACAACTTTTGTTAGATTTGTGCCTAAGTAATTTATGTTTGCATGGTAATGCAAATGGTATATCTGCTTATATATTTAGAACAATAATAGTAAAATTATAAATGTACATTTGCTATGATCCAACAATTTTACTTCTGGGTATGTACCGTAAGAAGTACTTGGACATGTGAACACATGTACAACACATTCAATGCAACAATTGCTGGAAACAACCCTAATATACAATAGCGATAAAGTAGCTAAATGTAGTATATGTATACATGGAATCCTATTCGTCTATGAAAATGAATTAAATATATCTAAAAGTAGCAAAAGAAATACGTTCTAAAAATATATTACTGAGTCCAAAGAAGTAAGTCAAAAAAATAATTTCTCCATTTATACAGATAGAGTTCGAAAATAGGCAATATTGAATTATATTATTTAAGGATATATGCAGAGGTTTAAAAACTCTCGAAAAATAAAGGAAGGGGTCCCAAAAATCAATAT